>NC_000006.12:161434426-161585941 GCF_000001405.40 Homo sapiens | reverse complement strand
ACTGAGAACATGATCTTAAAAAATAAATACATACATAAGAGGTTACTGGAGCCAAATATGTAGAGGTCAGTGAGATTTCAGCTGTGTATTGAACCTGCTGCCTGGCTGGGTTGTCTTCTGCTGTGTCAAGTCCTCAGGGCTGTAATCGAGCCAGCTGTAGAAAATAAAAAGGCAAGAGGCAGGAGGACCACCTACTTCATGTGTTTCAGGACTGCTAGGGAAGAGCCAAACGGCTGTCCAAACTTCTGCAACAAAGCCTGAAACTCATCATCCCTTTGTGTCTTAAAATGTTGATGTCTACATACATCCACTCCAGGGACAAGAAATTCTTATTCGGTTTGAGCTACAATTTGAACGCTATTTAATTGACAATCACTATTTAACTTAATTGTTAGATACACAAAATTTGAGATGTGAATATAGCAGACTCTATTTGGCGTTTAGAATAGTCTTGGGTTTTAATTTCTCTTTGGTATGACATATCTATCTGCAAAAGAGGGCTTCTGTTTTCTAAGAGCTCATCTACTAATACTGATTATTTGACATTATTCTGACATAACTGTAATCATTTCTGAAGCAAGACCCACTCATTAGTCACAAAAAGCCATAATACACAGCTAAGCCACGTTTCACAAATACAAGAAAACCAAAGCTCACATATATGAATCTAATATATCAACAAAACCTTCTTGTACAATGTGTAGCACATAGATTGTGTTTTCTCTGAGCTGTCAGTAAGCATTTAATGGTGCCCGTGTGCTTCAGAAAGAGAATGTTAGTGCTTAACTCACACTCTGAGGCTTCCTCCCAAGTGCCTCCCTAGAAAAGGAACGCTGACTACAGATAAATTAGATAACCGGGCTTTTTTCTTTTAATCTAAATGTTGGGAAGAAATGGAACCAGATTCTGAAGTGTTCTGTTTGGTTTTTCTCCAAATACAAATTGGGCTTCATACAAATGGAGAAGCCATTGTTGACATTCATTGACAGATCTGAAGCAATGCATTCTTTATGAAATAGCACTGCATTGCTAATACAGCCATCCCGGCAGCCAGGCTTGTGCTGTTTAATTTGTTTCCATGGTGTGATAGTATAATTTTGACATGCTGAAAAATCGCTGCACAGAGACTCATCCCGCAATTGTTACTGAGCACATTTTCAATATAACATTTGTTATTGAGGTGTTCGGGATGTCTTCTGAGAAGCAATATCCTAAATGAAGCTGGATGTAGGATCCCCCTGTTGTATAATGGAGTTTTGTATCCAGCTTCAGCTTATCTCAAATCTATTTAAACAGATATTCATTGCACACTTTTTATTGGAGGGACAACAGCTACTCTCTTACAATAAAACCAGGAAATCCTCAACATCATTTCTTTTTACCTTTGGATGGCAAGTGTAAGGGGGATATGTTAAAAGATTTTCTTCTAATAACAGGCCAGCCATAAGGTTTTTTCCCCCAATTTGGCACATGAAGATTATAATAGAAGAACTATTATTATATTAAATTAACTAATCTTACAAAATAGATTTTTGTGCTTTTTATATTATGTTTAATTTCAGATTTTGCAGCACCATTATATTCAGAGCAATTATGTGGGTGACTGCTCTATGAGTCACCAGCTGAAATAGAAAGGTTGGGCTCTGGTGTCCTATTTGATTGGGAAGCTGGAAGGACAGGCTGTATTGAGCACAGACATTTTTCATAATTATGTTGCCTGCAGGGTTGCCACCTGTCCTAATTTGATCTGATTAAGGTGAAATGCAAAAACGGTTCTCATTTCTTTCAGAGTGGAGTGATGCCAAGCTTCATCTCAGGAAGGAAGAAGAGATGAATACACATACAACCAAGGAGGGGAGGGTTGTGTCTCTAATACTCTGGGAAACTGGGGGACATTGGCCTCACTGTGATTGGTGGTGTTAAGTTTGTAGACAAATTCTGAAGAGTGTTTTGGCAGGAATGATGGAAATGTTAAATGGAACGATACTTTAACCCGGTGGTAGTCGCACTTTGGGGAGTGTGTCCAATTTAATGCCTCTGAATGGTTTGCAAATATGCATGTCTAGGTGACTCACTGACACCAATATGATCATTAGGGTTTGCCTCAAGGATATTGCAAAGGTGCGTAGCCATTAAAAACGATGATGTATGTCTGTATCATTTGACATGAAATGATGCCCATTCCTATTATTAGGTGGAAAAAACAAGTTACAGAATGTCATGCATAGTATGATGCAACATCCTTAATATCCTATGTGTATTGATGTAAGGGCATGCAATGAGTTATCTAGGAGATGATTCATAAAAAAATACTGGTGACTGTCTCTGGGTGGTAAAATTGCTAATTTCTACCTTTCTCAACTATTTTAATATTTTATAATGGCAATGAAAACAAAGCTATTTTAATTTTGAAAAACACCTTTAAAAAGGGAATTGTAAATATTAAGCATTTCCTGAACTTCTCCTAAATAGGAAAAAAAAAACCTGGAAATGATAATCTGACACCAACGCTTCTAAGAAGAGAAGAGAAAAATACATATGCCTTGATGCTATACCCTGATAGTGCCATTATGTAACTGAATTTTCTTTATTTCTTATCCCAAGATGTGTTTTTTAGCTTAAACATTGTCTTTTTAGAACAGCTTAACACCATTTGTCCTAACTGCTACCTAGTCGATATATTATTTTTCATTGTTCCTGAAAGTTTTAAAGAGAATCTAAAGGAACTATATATAACCTATGCCCTGTGTGCTCAGAGTGACATCATATCACCAGAAAGAAAAAAAGTAAGGCATGAAAGTCAAACAGAAAAACATTTTAGGCTTTTTGGTAATGCTCTATAGTTCATCATCAAAAAATTAACCAGTAAATCATGGATCTATTTTGGTTTATGGTTTTCAAGATCTTACAAAATGTGTATGTGTGTGTGTGTGTGTGTGTGTGTGTGTGTGTGTGTGTGTGTGTGTGTGTTGGAATAGGCCATCTCACTGGAAAGATGCTGGTTGGAATTTAGTCACTGGCACAAGGGCTCCCATAGTCTTTTTCCTATGTCAGGCCTATGCTGGGATCAGCTACATGGATGCAGCATTGAGCTTCCCAACCTGGGTGAACATGGATCTGAGTCATAAGACGACAGCTCTGAACTCAATTCATGCATGTATGACACTTACGTCTGGTTTCATTTATCCTTATTATAAAATTAATAATAGTCTGCAGGCCAGGCGCAGTGTCTCACACCTGTAATCCCAGAACTTTGGGAGGCCGAGGCGGGCAGATCACGAGGTCAGCAGATCGAGACCATCCTGGCTAACATGGTGAAACCCCATCTCTACTAAAACTACAAAACAATTAGCCAGGCGAGGTGGCAGGCGCCTGTAGTCCCAGCTGCTTGGGAGGCTGAGGCAGGAGAATGGCGTGAACCTGGGAGGCGGAGCTTGCAGTGAGCCTAGATCGCGCCACTGCACTCCAGCCTAGGCGACAGAGCGAGACTCTGTCTCAAAAATAATAATAATAATAATAATAATAATAGTCTGCAGATGCAGTCTTTCCTAGTTCAGATTATATCTGCTGCGCCCAACATTGTAATGTATAGATCTTCAAAGAAGAACTTTCAACTTTAGAGACTCTAAATTGTTTCAAGGTAATCTCAATGTTTTAACAAGAGTTGGTGTTCTCATATAGGAATGTTTCTGCTATTATAAAATAAGACGAATTATCCAAAGAATTGGGTTGTCATTGGAAATTCTACCTTTTAAAATATCTCCTTTAAAACTGTTACTTTCTGTGAGCCAGAGAGCCATTTAGAAAATGCACTTTACACTTTGGTAAAAACCAGTAGATGAAAGCAATGATTCCAAATTCACCATTCAGTCATGCGTGGAGCTCTGGGCACGGTGAGCTGGGGAGTAACAAGTTAAGTCAAAAACTCCTTCTCTGATCTGGAGGTGTTATAATGTAAAATAGACAAGAGAGTGGATATGTTCAAAGAAGTATGAGCGAAGGACGCCCTAAGCACTGTGAAGAGTGGACTGTTTCATTAATGTGTGTCCTCAGCTCTCTGCGCAGTAAATATTGAGTGGGTGATAAAACCTGAAGCAGGAAAGGAGCCCTTGTCAGAACTCACTAGCTTAGCATGGCTTCCACACCCTCTGCACTAGCAGCTCGGCAGGACCACTTTCCCATCCCTCACCTTTAAGTCCTCAAACAGAATCTCAGCCTTCTGAGTCAACACCAATTGCTGATGTTCATTCTCAGGCCAGCGATTCCATTTTTCCTTCATTTCTTCCATTCTATTTCCTGTCTCTTGCTCACTGTTGATGACATAGGCCCAACGCCCTTCACCTTGTCCATAAGTAAGTCTTTGCTTCTGATTGTCCAGTGACTCAAACCTCAGACTTCAGCATATCCTCTTCCGTGACCTTCTTCCGTTCAGCACATTATCTGTGTTTTTAGATTCCAGGCCTCTTCTCTCTCAACACTTCTCAAAAAAACTCCTTTTGCTTATGTACTTATTGGGCATGGTAGTTAATTGACATTTTTAAAGTCACTAAATAACCAAACACAAAAACAGCAAATACAATGGAGACAAACACTTTGTGAACTTAGACCAAAAGGACAGCACAGAAGTAGTGAAATGACCTTTGACAGGTTCTTTCACTGCAGTAGCTTTACTCATGCCTATGAAAGTTCTTAAAATAAAAATTGATACATAGAGAAACTTTTTTTTTTTTTTTGAGACAGAGTCTCACTCTGTTGCCCAGGCTGGTGCAGTGGCACAATCTCGGCTCACTGCAACCTCTGCCTCCCAGGTTCAAACCTCCCCAGTAGCTGGGATTACAAGGGCATGCCACCACGCCTGGCTATTTTGTGTGTGTGTGTGTGTGTGTGTGTGTGTGTGTGTTTAGTAGAGACAGGATTTCACTGTGTTGGCCAGGCTGGTCTCAAACTCCTGACCTAAGGTGATCCATCTGCCTTGGCCTCCCAAAGTGCTGGGATTACAGGTGTGAGCCACCATGTCTGGATGATAGAGGAAGTTGTAAATACACAAACACAGATAGATGAAAGTTTTTCCTAGGATAATCTTCAGCTTTGACACACCAACGATATCCGTGTCTATTGAGCTTCATTTTCTAGTTGATAAGTGCTTGCTTAAAACAAATTTTTGGGCTGGGTGCGGTGGCTCACACCTGTAATCGCAGCACTTTGGGGGGCCGAGGCGGGTGGATCATGAGATCAAGAAATTTAGACCATCCTGTCCTAACACGGTGAAATCCCATCTTTACTAAAAATACAAAAAAATTAGCCTGGCATGGTGGAGGGCGCCTGTAGTCCTAGCTACTGGGGAGGCTGAGACAGGAGAATCGCTTGAACCTGGGAGGCAGAGGTTGCAGTGAGCCGAGATTGCACCACTGCACTCCAGCCTGGTGACAGAGCGAGACTCCGTGTCAAAAAACAAACAAACAACAACAAAAAAATTGTCTATAAATGAATTTCTTATGTAAGTGTGCAGGATGAAGGGCTGGATTTAACTGTCTGGAATTGCTTATACCAGGGCCATGGTGCAGTCACCTGAGCCGCATACCAAGGCTCAAGGTCTCGTGTTTTAGAGGCACCTGGTTGAACACTTGTGATGCTGCACTGCAAAACATGGATAGCAAATTTGAGCTCATTGGTAAAACTCTCTGACAGATGAGACGTGCTCAGATTCATCATTTTGGCTAATTAAAATAAAGAATAATTACTAATTCTCGTGATAAAATGCAAAGATCTGGGCAATCAAACCATAGTGTAATTAACAATATACTCAAAGCTGTGTGGGTTTTCCCGCATCATAGAAGCTATTAGTTGTCTTTTAAATTGGATTTTTGTTTTATTTTCATAATCTCTTTCAAATGTATCTCACCCCAGCATATACACTCTAAATATATAAAAGCAGGGATGCTATATAAAAGCAGTGATGAATTTAAGTGGCAATATTTAGAGTGCTTACATGGGTTTTGTTTTTTATAAGAATTTGAAAGATGCCTTTCAGTAATGAATGCAGTTATGCCTACGCTAAGATGAATAAAAGAAACCAAATGCACAGAACTAAAGTGACAAGGGAAAGTACTGAAATGAATTTAAAATACAAAATTCAAAAACAAAAAATACCATTAAGTACTTGTAAAACTATAAACTCTTTTCTGTTCCCCTGCCCCATTCCACTTTACCCCCAGCCCCTCTCTTTACCTCATTTTTAAGGAATTGTGTCCATTTAAGAAATTCCTCCATTTAAGGAATTGCATCAATTCCTAAAGTCCGATGACTTATATTTATTTAATACTGGTTTTGGATATGATTTATTTTCCCAAACTTAATAGTGCCTGAATATGCCCTATTCAGGAACATGCCCTACAAGGAAGGCCAGTTTACAGAGCACACTCTATGGCGAAGTATAGGGTACAAATATAAATTACACAAGTTTCCAGTTTATAAACAGGGGAGTGTTCCATAAATGTTCATGTCTATACATTGTTTGGAACTCAGAATTCTTTTCTCCTAAAGAAACCTCATTAACCATGATAATTAGGTGCCCCGCTGACCCTCTAGACCCTATTTAACTAGGCCTTATCTGACAGGGATGTGCCTAACCTAAGTGCCCTTTTTGGTTACACCCACTTGGGGGATGACAGTCCCACAGATTCTCTTTCCCCCAACGTTAACTAGACATTGACATTTTCACTCAGGTAACCAACCAACCACCATAATCTGTGGAAAAACATATTAAAGAGAGCACAAAATTCCATCTCCTTCACTTCCTCCCTTTCCTTTCTCTGATGTCAACCAAGGACAAACTTTTGAGAGCAGCAGGAGAAAGAAAATAATGGATAAGGATCCCTTTTCACTCTGAGAGCCTCCCATTCCCAGTGGCCACTCATGTGTTGACCAGCCAAATTAAATTTGTGATCTGAGGGATGCTGGATGTTGAAAACACTTGCCCTGTAAAATGTATCATCACAATCACTCAAAATATAGGTCAATAACAAAGGAAGAACTTTATGAAATTCAAAGGTGAAGGCAAAGCGCCAAGAATATACACACAATTCAAAATATTTAAGTTGTTTTGACATTGTAATGACATACAAATAAGAAAAATGAGAAGTGTTTTTCATCTTTTGTTACTGCATGTTCTACCTTGTCCTCTGTCTCAAACCTCCCAAATGACCACAGAAAATCTATTGCAGAGCAGCGCTGATTAGATCTAGTGCAGGAAGTGACACCATCGTGTGGACAGTCATGGAGGTGTCACAGGAAAGAGAGGTCAGGGGAGGGTGTTCATAGAGCCTGGGGATCTGGGCTTAAGCGCTTATTGCAGATCTTTCAAGTGGGAAACTGATTGGAGTTGAGCAGATCAATGACATAGTAGTTTGGGGTCAGTGGACACAGTGAGACAAAGTCCTAAGGAAGCCTTCATAAGGAAACTGTTGTCTTATACAAGAGCTATTATTGCCCAGGTGAACCGTCTGATTTCCTGTTAAGAGAGATGGCTACTCAGATGAGCAAACTGTCTGGTTAAATTATTTGCAGGAGTTTCTTGAAGCAAACAGTGAAGTTATTTATTGCTTTACAAGCTTATCTTCCAGGGCAGAATTCTTCTGGAACAAATAATTAGGTCTCAGTGGTCTCAGTTCTCAGCCCCAGTAGGTAGGCTGTGTGTATGCAGGTGCTTTCAATTCTCATCTGCAGCCAAGCAGCTGCTTGGATTCCTCAAACACTCCAGGCTTTGGCCTCTTTGATTCCAAGCCACCTCCTCTTTTTCTTTTTTTATACCTCTTTGGTTGCTCTCTGCTCACTTGGCTCTTTCTACATCTACTTGGTTTGTTGGTGTGCGTCTTATTTCTTCTGCAAGCTCCAGGAAGGCAGAATCCCTGTCTGATTCATTTATGATTTCTCTATGGCCCCTGGCGTTACGCATAGTAAGTGTACACTCAAGAGTTGTTCGATGAAGAATCAATGAATATTTACTTGGAATTCACCTCCGGCCAATAAGGATAATATTATTTGTGAAATGAAAATTTCTGATCGTGTCTCATTATCAATGAGACTGATTCTTCCCTGGCACCTCATTGGAAGATGGATAGTCTCATAGCCACTAGAAGCTGACCCAGCAAGGATGTTTGGATTAATACAGCAGCTGCAAAAAACCAGAAAATACCAATCTGCATCAATTTTAATATAAATTATGAAATCACAGCTATCTGAGCTTCATACACACTATGCTGAGCTCCTAAAAGATACTTCGCATCTTCTGGACTGGTAACTGCCTCATCTACAAGTAAGAAATTGAATAGATAATATTTCATGGCTTCTTTCAGCTTATTCTGAAAGCATCAAAATTTACAAAGTTTCATGCTATACTACTCAGATAAGTTATGTCTACTAATTAGTGGTTGTATTGGAAGGTTTTCCTTCTCCAGACTACATTCATGCTCATATATGTTCACAAACTCAGGTCTATACGTTATTGAATTTTTATTCAGCCTTTTCCAAGGTTATTTTTAGATGTACTTTAAAGGTTTCATCTAGAGATTTTTATTATGAAAAGTTCCAGACATCCAGTTAGATATTTAAAGTAGCATAATCAATGTCCATGTACACACTACCCGGCTTTGATGACTTCATTAGTTTAGTTCTTTTTCTGCCTCGATTTCGCCATCTTTAAAATGGGGATAAAAATAGTACCTGCCTTATAGGGTTGTCATGAGTAGTAAATGAATTACATGCATAACACTGTGAAGAGTGTTTTGTTCCTACTAAGCATCATAGAAGTATTAGCTTTTCTTTTTAACAATTATTGTAATACACTTTAAGACAGATTTGAATAGCAGTGCCCTTCTATGGTCCTGTTCCTCTTTCCTCTTCCCTTCAATTTGATACATACTTCAGGGGCGTTTATCATTTGCAGGCATTATTTTATATTCTTAGTATATTTGCGTGCATCGACATTGTTTAATAGATTCTCTAAACTTTCTGTAAATGACATTGCATTGTGCATAAACGATTGCAACTTTTTTCTCAACTTTATGATTTTGAGATTTACCTGTTTTGATACATTTCACTCTAGCTAACTCATATTAACTCAATTCCTAAAAATCTGTGCTTCAGTGTCATGGTCTCAATAAGAAATGAACACTTACTTTTACGTTAGCCAACCCTGCCCTTTATACTGTTGTATTTTCTCTTTTCCACACAGTGCTAATGACCATCCAAAATGTTACTTCATTTACCTACTTATTAGTTTATTTTTATTGTCTCTCGCCCCTTTAGAATGCAAGCTCCAATGAGGGATTTTTGTCTGTTTTAATTTTTCACGGCTGCGACCCAAGTGTCGTAATAGTGCCTGGCACAAAGTGGGTGCACAATGGCTATTTGTTGAATGATTTTATCTCTTCTTCTGTTGATGGTCATTTTAGATGTGTCGTTTTGTTGTTGCTGTTATTACAAAAATGTCGCAGTAAATATTCTATTCCATATCTCCTTGTGTAACCATGTAAGTTACTCTCCCGTGTGTATACCTGTAAGTACATTATTAGGTGGAAGGTGAGTATCTTCAAGATTCTCCTTAACTGGCTTAGGATATCTTGAGACAGCAAGTATTGGCTACGGAGAAAGAATGCATGAATAATCCTTTATAAATAAAAACCCATCAGCAGAGAGAAAGGATTAAAATAAGCTTGGCTTTATTTATGAAAACGATAATGCTTTAAACTTGATTCTGTAAAGTCCTGCTGCTGACTGAATGCAATTACTCTGTCGAGACAGCTTAGTGAGTTTTCCAGGGATCCTATTAACGCCTGGCTCTCAGACTAATTCAGAAATGGCTACTTCAGCACAGTGTATGGCAACCCTAATCAACCTGGCTTAGCTGGAGTAGCAAGCCGCCCACTGGATTCCTTCACTGCTGCAGCCCAGCCTGCACATGTGGCCCATGCTCTCTGGCTTGTGCTCAGAGGTCAGTGTTCAGTCTCGCTGCATTGTCTTCGATCACATTGAATCTTCATTTATTTTTGATGCCATTTTGTCGTTAGTCGGTTTCCTTTTCTAAGTTGTACTTAGGGGGGAAATAGAAGGTCACTGTAATTGTCAAGCCCACATTAGGGATTCTAAGCTATAGCCGAGAGAGAAATTAATCCTCAAAGCGTTTCGCACCAAACAGCAGCAATCTGCAAATTGCAGATTATTTGTGTCATGTGACCAGTGCCAGGAGCACATCAGAGAGCTGAAATCCATTTCCATTTCTATCCCAAGCCTGGGTGCTCACGATTTTCCATTGAACCCAAAGGATATCACAATTGCTCCTGTGATGACTTGCAAAGAAATTAAAAGGAAAAATAGTGATCGAAGACTCATGTGGTTTTTAATGCTTCTCAATGGAATATATTTTCCAAATGAGTTTTCCCTACTTTACAGCATGATTGTTGAGGAAATTCACCGAAAGCTTTCTGAAAACATTATGGCTCAGTTAATCTCTCAAAGGTATTTGTTTTGTTTTGTTTTGTTTGGGGTTGCTTTTTCTCAGTAGCTGTCAGTGACTTTGTGGAAATGCTACACAACTTTGTGACGCGTTTTCATTGAGGAGCTTCCCCGTTAGATGATAAAATGACCTTTATGGTATAGCAACAGAATAAAAGTAAATGTTGATTACAGATACTAATTGAAATATAGAGCCCAGTTTCGCAGTTGTCCTTTAAAATAAGATTCAATCCTGTGTTTATATGCTTTTTAACAAATTGTCTTATTCATTTTTAACACCAAAAAGCTGGTATTCATTGAACACCAATGAGCTCAGATTTTTAGAAAACACAGGCAACAGTTGAGTGATGGGTTTAATAACTAGAGGAAAAACACGACAGAAGAGCACAAACTTGTGAGCACGGCATGAGGATGGCACGGAAAGAGGTGACATTCTCTTTTAAATTTCCAAGGACAGCAGGACGGGCTTTAAAAGTGGAGTCCAGGACAAGAAAAGAGGGAAAAGATAGAGAAGAATAGGCTCTTGTCAAGAAAGCTAACACAGTGTCAGTAGGTAAAAACACTACTCGATTCCTGTGTGTTCTGTTTTCTTGAGCAAAGAGAATATGTCCCATGTTAGAAAGGACAGAATAACAATTTAAGGAGAACCTTGTGCTTAAGAAAAATGATGACATAATATGGCATATACAAATATTTTAAATGCCAATAGATGTCCAAACACTTCTATTATAGTCTCAGAGATGCTGCCGGGAATCTTTGAGATACAATAAAGAGTTCAGAGTTCCGGAGATGATTTTTTAACTTTTCAGAATGAGGAAAAGTTGAATCTCAAAAGTTGAAAAGCAGTGAGTTTGATACCAGTTTCACCCATCAAACACCCAAAGAAAAAAATCATGTGAGCGCTTACTCACGAATTTCATCAGGAATACTCATTACGTAAAGTAATATGCAGTCATTAAGAGTCAACGCAGATTTACCAAAAATCAATGCAGAAGAACCCATATGTGAGGGAGGTGATGCTTAAAGGGCATGGAAGGATCGGACATGGTCTCTATTGCTCCAAATCCAGAAGTAGTACTGTGGTTTTTATTCGCCAGGCCCATGTTTTCCTCTCTGCCACCTCCGCCCCCTCCGCTAACGTTTTCCTGTCTCCCTACGCGAATGCATTCTGTGGGCCCGTCTTGCAGTTCCAGTTTTGTTATTTTTAAGCCCCATCTTCACACTGAGTTTATATCTGGCCATTTCCCACACTAGTGTCCCTGTGATGAGCACAGTTTGCAGATAGCCGTCCACGGTCTTCTTAAATATCTTGCCGCCTTCCAGCTCTTCTCATCTAAGTCTATGCTGTGTCTAGTCTTGTTTGTTGTTTTTTTGAACCTACCAGGTGTTTCAAGTAATTATCTAGTCTTCTGTTAAAGATGTTTATATACGAGCTATCATCAACATCAGTCCTTTCACTTGTATCTTAGGAGACAGCCAGAATACACATTCTGAAGATAAGCTAATTTAAAATTGTGTTTCTTATTTTATGCAGGATTAAAATAAAGCCATTTTTCTCAAGTTTGAGTGACATAAAAGACCGCTTGTAAAGAAACAAAAAATTCTCCAAAACACCCAAGGTTGAATGAAGTTTTATATATATATATATATATATATATATATATATATATATATTTTTTTTTTTTTTTTTTTTTTTTTTTTTTTTTTTTTGAGACGGAGTCTCGCTCTGTCGCCCAGGCTGGAACGCAGTGGCGCCATCTCGGCTCACTGCAAGCTCCGCCTGCCGGGTTCACACCATTCTCCTGCCTCAGCCTCCCGAGTAGCTGGGACTACAGGCGCCCGCCACCACGCCAGGCTAATTTTTTGTATTTTTAGTAGAGACGGGGTTTCACTGTATTAGCCACGATGGTCTCAATCTCCTGACCTCGTGATCTGCCTGCCTCTGCCTCCCAAAGTGCTGGGATTACAGGCGTGAACCACCGCACCTGGCCGAATGAAATTATTTTTAAGACAATATGTCTTCAATGTGTCTAGATATAAACTGAGCTATAAATACTTTATGCTTATACAACTAGAAGGCCCAAATAAAAACATATCAATTAAATATAACTGAAAGTACAAGACCAAAATATTCTGATGGACTCTATCAATTTAATACGCCAGAGGCTGTCATTTTACTGACACTAAAGCAGTGCTTGGGATCCGAACAGGGCCCTGATGAGTTGGCCCAGATTCAAATGTTCCATCTCAGCAGGCCTGGGACCCTGAGCTGTAGGCTGCCTCCCTTCCCCCACAACTTCTCCTGTGACTCTACCCTTCGGACACTCGGCCCCAGACCATGGGACGTCACTGGCAGGGGAAGCCTCCCTTGCCTTCTATCCACTCTTTTCTCACTCATTTCAGGAAACTAAACTATGATGACTTGCTCCCAAAGAGATCCAAAGCACAGGAACTGACTTGAGGCTGAATTTCACAGCAGTTTTTGTTTGAACTGAAGCCAGTCAAATGATCCAGAATATATTTTTACTATTGTTTAGGTAATCATCAGAATAGCAACCCCAAAATCAACAACTTCTCAAAAAGAATCTTCAGCCTGCAAGTCTCCGTGGTCTCTAGTTGGAGAAGCACTCAGCTCAAGCATCTGTTTCTCACTTGAAGGATCTGGTTTTCCTTCTCTACAGTACCAGACATGCCTGTGAAAGCTAATGTATTATGTTTTCCAGTAAAATATTCACTTGGGTTATTTATTTATTTATTTATTTATTTATTGAGACAGAGTCTTGCTGTTGTTGCCCAGGCTGGAGTGCATTGGCACAATTTCAGCCCACCACAACCTCTGCCTCCCAGGTTCAAGCGATTCTCCTGCCTCAGCCTCACAAGTAGCTGGGATTACAGATGCCCGCCACCATGTCTGACTAATTTTTGTATTTTTAGTAGAAACAGCGTTTCATCATGTTGGCCAGGCTGGTCTCAAACTCCTGACCTTGTGATCCTCCTGCCTCAGCCTCCCAAAGTCCTGGGATTACAGGTGTGAGCCACCATGCCCGGCCAGGATTTTTATTTATTTTCTTGGTGGCATCACCTGTTTACACGTGTGTTTAAATTTTGTTCACATTTTTGTAATCTTTTGTACTACTCAGTAAACATTTGTGAAGCACTTTCTCAACATATGAAATGTTATATAATATAGGCTAAAGCTATGTTCCAGCATTTTACATGACCATAGAATTTTGGAATTGGAAATAACTCAGTGTATTAGTCAGGCTTCTCCCAAGAAACAGGACCTTTCTGTCTATAGGATCTATAAAGAGAAAGAGACAAGAGGACGTTTACTGGGGGAAGGGCTCACACAATTATGGCGGCCAAGCAGTCCTGCAATCTGCCATCTGCAAGCTGGAAAACCAGGAAAGCCTTTGGTCTAATTCAGTCTGTGTCTGAAGGCCTGACAACTAGGGGCAGCAGGTTTGGGAGTCGTGTATGTCTTGCAGTCAGAAGGCCTGAGAACCAGGAAATCTGATCTTTAAGGCTCTAGAAGAGAAAGAGCATTCACCGTTCTCTGCCTTCTTGTTCTGTGCAGGCCCTCAGTGCCCTCAGTGGATGGGACGATGCCTGCCCACATTGCTGAGAGTGGATCTTCTTGGTCCACAGACTCAGATGCCAGTCTCTCCCAGAAACACTCTCACACACCCACCCAGAAATAACATGTTATCAGCTATCTGGGCACCCCTTAGCCCAATCAAGTAGACACATAAATTCATCATCATACCCAGTAAAATTCCTCTCTAAAATATCCTACATAAGTATTCATTTAGCATGTGTTGAAAAACCTGCAGTTACTGTCTTATAAGGCAGTTTATTCCATTTTCTTCTGTTGGTTTAAATCCTACTCTCTGAAACAATGCACAGATCTAATCTGTATCGCAATGAGCACCTTCACCTGTGTGAATACAGGTTTTCTCATTCCTCAGCCTGCCCTCCCCCAGACAAACACTCTCAGGGCTTCTGACCACTCTCACATCACAATGCTGAGGAATATGAGAAATGGCTCCATAATTTAGTTGATATGTCCTGCATACAATCCAGTTTCCTTACTAGGAAGTTCAACAGATTATATAATCCATAGGTCTTATCTCAAAGAAACAGGTTTTTATATCAATTTTGTTTCCAGAGAGAATAATATAAATAAGCCAGTTACAGTGGCTCACGCCTATAATCCCAGCACTTTGTGAGGCTGAAGCGGGAGCGTCACTTGAGCCCAGGAGCTTGAGACCAGCCTGGACAGCATAGTGAGACCCCATCTCTACAAAAAATTAGGAAAAAATAAAAAACTTAGCCAGGCTTGGTGGTGCACACACCTGTAGTCCCAGCTACTCAGGAAGCTGAAGCAAGAGGGTACCTTCAGCCAGGAGGTCAAGGCTGCAATGAGCCATGATTACACACTGCACCCCAGCCTGGAGTTAGACCCTGACTCAAAAAAATAATAGTATAAATGACTACAACCTAATATCGAGGAATAGTTCTATTGAAAAGACAGGGATGCAACACATTTTAAATGATATTAAGCATATACTGGCCTAAATTTTACATATCTATACATTTGGGCCTCGAACAATGTGAGGCTTAGGAACACCAACATCCCTGAAGTCAAAAAACTATGTGGAACTTTTGACTCACCCAAAACTTAACTACTAATAACCTACTGTTGACTAGAGGCCCTTCCTATAACATCAATAGTCTATGAACACATATTTTATAGGTCATATGTATTATATACTATATTCTTAAAGTAAGATAGAGAAAGGAAAATGTTATTAAGAAAATCATCAGGAAGAGAAAATGTATTAACTATCCATTAAGTGAAAGCAGATCATCATAAAGGTTTTCATCTTCATTCTCTTCACAGCTAGTGGCTGAGGAGGAGGAGGAGGGGGAAGGGTTGGTCCTGCTGTCTCAGGGGTAGCAGAGGCAGAAGAAAAAATCTGTGTATAAGTGGACCCACAAAGTTCAAGCCCATGTTGTTCCAGGGTCAACTGTATTTTATTTTACATAGAATATTTATTATATATGTTATATTATTATATATAAATATATATATTTAGGCCAATATTTATATTAATTATATAATTCTATAAAATTATATATTTACATATATAATTTATATATGTGAGTTATATAAAAATATATATAACTCATATCTATACATTAAATATAATTATATAATATTTTATACATACGTATTTTAATTGTGTGTGTATGTGTGCATATATATATATATATATATATTTTTTTTTTTTTTTTTTTTTTTACCTATTTACTTACTTTGTTTTACAACTGAAGAAGGAAAAGGTGAAAGTCTGAAGGAGCTTGGATTGATTGGGTGGAACGAGAAAGTGATAGGCACCAGAACTGCTGGGCCTTCTCTCTTGGTCCTTCCGTAAGATGCCCTTTCCAAACTCAAACGCAAGATCTAATAGGTCTTCACAAAGCCTCTTGACAAAACCAGGCAAGGTACTAACCGCCAGCTGAGCCCCCCAAAGAATGGATGTGTAGCTACCCGACCTTTGCTCTTACCTCTCAATGAGCAGGCCCCTGGCCTTGATGGTGAGCAAACAGGACATGATGAATAAGTCAGAGCCTGTGGTCACCAACTCCCCTACTCTGGCCCTGCGGAATCCTGGCTATATATGAGGAACCAGTGACATGCTGAACATGTTTCTAAGAACCAGAGTGGCATGACATCCTAAGGCCAGATCATAATCAGAGGGGAGAGAAAGCCTGGCCAGGGTCACATGCAACTGTTTTCTAAAGAGGTGCGGTTGGAGGCCAGGCAGCGGCCATAGCTCTTTTGAGGGTTTGGCTTTTTTTGTGGTTGGTTAGATGTGTGTTTTTCAGGTACACGTCTGTGTCCTCCCAAAAGGCAACACTGGCAGTTGATAGTCATAACTCTGTGTAAGAACATATAACCACACAGAGTGAAAGTGACGTTTTTGTGATTAATTCTTCTTTCCAACAGCTGGCTGTCCCAACTCCTTGATTAAAGAGCTCCATCACTTCAGGATTCTGGGAGAAGAGCAGGTGAGTGAGCATCTCAAAGGCTGCATCAGACTGTCATGAAAGATAGACGCTAATGAGACAGTTTGGGCTCCCCAGGGAGGCCGAGTATGTCTCCTGACCCTGGGTGCCCTGAAATGGGGAAGAAAACCATGCTGGAGATATGTGTGAGGACACTTTTTTCCTCTTCTATCCATCAGACCTGACAGGTTATTAATTGCTACATCTGCTATCTGCCAGTGCAGTGCATTTCATCTCAAGACTCAAGCAGGAAGCAAGCACTGCATAGTGGCAGATGAGCAAACAAATAAATGCAGAGATGAATTATGCCTGAGGGATCGATGGTCATAGACATTCCTAAGTTGCTGTCTGTGGGTGAATGTGTGAGCATTTTTTTTTTTTTTTTACCAGGTTTTTGTATTGGGTGTTTGTTATCTGTATTTCATGGCAGCCTTTTGTACACGGGTATGAACATGTGACGTCTATACAAAGGGTGACCATTTGAAGTGGATTATTTAAATGCTGTGTTGTGCTCAGTGAGGCGTGTCATAATTTAAATAGATATGCTAAGTAAATAATTCAGGGTGCTAAATATTATATATATGTACACACATATATAGTATGGAATGCTTAAAAATACGTTTCTTGATCCCTATATGGAACTACAAACTCTGTATTAGTATGTTAAATCTAGGTGTCAAGTTATCCTTAAAATACACTAAAGAGTTGGCAAAAGGCTGATTGACCTAACTTCCAGTGTTATTTATTTTATTTTATTTATTTTTTGAGAAGGAGTCTTGCTCTGTCGCCCAGGCTGGAGTGCAGTGGCATGATCTCAGCTCACTGCAAGCTCCGCCTCCCAGGTTCACGCCATTCTCCTGTCTCAGCCTCCTGAGCAGCTGGGACTACAGGCGCCCGCCACCACACCCAGCTAATTTTTTATATTTTTGGTAGAGACGGAGTTTCACCGTGTTAGCCAGGATGGTTTCGATTTCCTGACGTCATGATCCGCCTGCCTCTGCCTCCCAAAGTGCTGGGATTACAGGCGTGAGCCATCACGCCCAGCCCAGTGTTATTTATTTTTACTCCTAAAGATTGTCTCTGCCAACTTTGACCAGGAAATATGCAAATGGAGATGTGGCAGCTCACTTTCATCAATGAGTTTTTGGTTTGTGTGTTTTTGTTTGGTGTATGTATGTGGCAAAGTAAAACTGCCCATTTCCAATATGAGAATAAAAACAAAAGGATTAGTAAGGAGAGGATAAGAAACTGGAATCACTGCCACATCCTGGAGTTAGAGAATTACAGTACATCCCCTTCATTTTTCTATATTGTGAGTTTCCAGAATAGCAGGCATAAATGTATATTCAAATACAAGTGAAATCAGTTATCCCGTATTGCAGGTAAAAGTTGACAACTGACTCTCCCAAACATAACTCCTTGTGAAGACACCTGGATCTCACAGCCATTTCCCAGTGAAAGCCTAAAGACTTCTTAAAGCAAGAATCACTGGTTGTTACCCTGACAATTCTGCTCAGATAATGGAGTCTTCTCTTCAAACTTGTACCAATATTTGCAGTGTTTCCATTTTTGTTTTAGAGTCCATGGGTAATTAGTAAGGAAAGAAGCCAACAGTAATCATCTCCTCAGATCTGCTTTGTAAAGGTCAGGTCACTTTGCATTCTCCTAGAAATTTAATTGAGCCATAATCAAAATTAATATCACTACGATTAGTTTTGGTAATATAGTGCATCAGAGCAATATTGATCTCTATTTCCTAAAACGCAAACACACGCGCAAACACACACACACACATGCAGACATACACACACTTCCTTCTTTCTTTCAGCTGATACTTACTGAGTACCTACTATGTGCTATATACCATCCTAGGTTACAGGGATAGAGGAGTGAAAAATCTCCATATTCTACTTAGAGAAAACCATATTATATACACATAAACACATTTAGTGTATATTATGTTAGATGGCTATCATTGCTATGGAGAAAAAGGAAATGAAAAAGGACAGCACTCAGGTGTGGTGGCTCACACCTGTAATGATAACACTTTGGGAGGCCAAGGCAGGCAGATCATTTGAGGCCAGAAGTTCGAGACCAGCCTGGCCAACATAGTGAAATAGTGAAACCACATCTCTACTAAAAATACAAAATATTAGCCAGGCATGGTGGTGCACGCCTGTAATCCCAGCTGCTCTGGAGGCTGAGGCATGGGAAGCATTTGAACCCAGGAGGTGGAGGTTGCAGTGAGCCAAGATTGTGCCACTGCAGTCTAGTCTTTGTTACAGAGTGACCCTCTCTCACACACACACACACACACACAAAAAAAAAAAAAAAACAAGGACAGTGAATACTGGAGGAAGAGGTGAAATTTTATATAAGGTGGTCAGGGAAAGTTTCACTGAGCAGGTGACAGGTGAATAAAGACTGAAAGGTATCCAGAGAAGCCTCATGGTGACATCTGGGAAAGGAGATTTCCACAGAGTGGATGAAGCAACAACAGAGGCTCCAATGTGATCATGTGCCTGGCTTTAACATTCATAATAGTCCAGAAACAAGTGTGACTGGTGGAGGGGAGGGGAGGAGGACAGAGCAAAACAAAGAGGAAGGAGCCACATTGCATGAGATAGGGTTGCAATAATAAAGTGGGAGGAGGCCAGGCGTGGCAGCTCACACCTGTAATCCCACATCTTTGGGAGGCTAAGGCGAATGGATCACCTGAGGTCAGGAGTCTGAGACCAGCCTGACCAACATGGCGAAACCCTGTCTCTACTAAAAATACAGAAGTTAGCTGGGTGTGGTGGCGGGCGCCTGTAATCTCAGCTACTCAGGAGGCTGAGGCAGGAGAATTGCTTGAGCCTGGGAGGCGGAGGTTGCAGTGAGCCAATATCGTGCCAATGCACTCCAGCCTGGGTGACAGAGTGAGACTCTGTCTCAGAAAAATAATAATGATAATAAGGTGGGAAAAAATCCAGGCAGGTATCATGACCTGGGAGCCAAAGGAAGAAGGCATCTTTAGGAGGAGGAATCATGATCTGTGTCCTATGCTCAGCAAGAAGGACAAGGATGAGAAATGAGCACTGGACTCCACAATGTGGAGGTCCTTGGTAACCTTGACCATGGGCAGTGAGGGGAAAGCCTGCCTCGAATGGATTCATGTGAGAGGTGAACCAAAGAGTGGGAGACTGCAAATACATACATTTTAATTTTGGCAACTGGGAACTTAGCTGAAGAGGAAAGCAAAGAAATGAGGTAGCTGAGGGATGGAGATAAGAAAATGACCTTCTTAATGGGAAAAATTGCAGCATGTCTATGTACTGATGGTAATGATTCAGTAGAGGAGTTGGGAGACTGATGATGCAGAAGGGGGAAGGGAGAATTCAGGAGCAGTGTCCTTGGATGTAGGCATGGGCTTGGACAAGAGAGTGGCCAGTTCCGCCTGGTAACAGTGGGGGAGACAGAATATGCAGGCACAGACGTATGAGCATTGGATTTGATGGTAAACCTTGCGTAGGGTCTCTGCTGGTTGTTTCTCTTTTCTTGGTGTAACAGGAAGCTAGGTCATCAGCTGAGAGTACAGATCGGGGAAGAGTTTTAGAGGGAAAGGAGATGTATTAGTCTGGTCTCACATTGCTATAAGTAAATGCCTGAGACTGGGTAACTTATAAAGGAAAGAGGTTTAATTGACTCACAGTTCCACATGACTGGGGAGGCCTCAGGAAACTTACAATCATGACGGAAGGCGAAGGGGAAGCAAGGTACCTTCTTCAAAAGGCAGCAGGAGAGAAAAGTGCAAGCAGGGGAAATGCCAGCCAATTATACAACCATCAGATCTCGTGAGGACTCATTCACCATCACGAGAACACCATGGGGGGAATCATCCCCATGATCCAATCACTTCCACCCTTGGTCCCGCCCTTGACGTGTGGGCATTATGGGGATTACAATTCAAGATGAGAATTTGGGTGGGGACACAGCCAAACCATGTCAGGAGAGGATAATGAAATTGTCATTTAGGAGGGTGAGGAGGGAATAAACTTGGGAAATGGTTGAATTTGGAGTGAGGTCAATCCACTGGGTGTTTTTCTGACACACTCATCTGTGTAGGCACAGATGCAGAAAAGGCACTGGCATTGAAGTTTTGCGGTCAAAATGTAACAAAAACAAGAGGGAGGCTAAGAAGCTGAGGGTGGATCTCATCTTACAGTGTTACAACAACAGTGTAAGCTGAGGGTGAATCTAAGGGAGTGATTATGACCGACCATGAAATTTCAGCTGGGCAAGCAGAGAACCCAGATGAGAGAGAGGACAGGGAAAGTTGGTTACAGATGCCAGTGGCTCAAAGAATTTTCGGGATTTGAGTACTAGAAGGGTTGAACTGGACAAACAGGCATTGGCCAAAGAATGAAAGACTTCACATCGAGCTTGTGGAGGAGCTGCATGGTCAGCACCGACGAGGTCAGAGGAGGCCTAGGGAGGCTGTGTGTCTGATTTCAGATGGAGGACAAGGTGACGAGAGAAGTTGAGGTCATGGAATTGGGAAGTCGGAGAGTTGGGAGTACCACCCCTGTGCACGCTGAGATCTTCCAGAATTGCAAACTGAAGATTTGAGAAATGAGAGAGAGAGAGAGAAATGGATGTCAGTAGCTGACAGCAGAAGGGGAAATAGTGCATGGTGTAGGCTGATGGGTTGAAATGGAAAGTTGGAGGGCTTTAGAAGGAGAAAGGGAAAATGTTTTACTTACAACACTGTAGAGCAATGCTTTGTGGTACTGGGATTGCAGACACAAAAACATTTGAGGGTGCTGCAGGCGAAGTAGTGTCCTCAGGGACACGCCTGTTTCAGTTAGGGAAGAATGTAAGAAAAACATTGAGAAAGCAGATTGCAGTCATAGGGCAGTTACTGCTGATTGCCCATGAGTTCCCCAAGCATGGGGGAAGGGTCTCAGGGTTTGGGGCAGCTGGAATATGTGGTAGGAAAAAGGATACACAGAGTGGATGTGGAGCTTGGGGCTCAGCCTGGAGAGATGGAACAGGAGTCAGGCATTCTTTGGTGACTGTCGTGAACAGGGCATATCAGTCAGGGACGTTTATATCCTGATTATTCATGACAAGACCTACTGGCCTCTAGGCAGATGGTGGCAATGAGGCTCCCGAGAGGAAGCAGAGAGCTCTTGTCCCAGCATTCCTGCCAGCGGTGGGGGCAACTGCTCCAGGAGCTGGTGAAACTCTTGGGATCTCACTGGATGCTTGAGGCAACTGTTATCACTTGATAAAATAAAATGTTTATATTAATGTCTGTTACAAGCATCCTTGGACAAATCATTTTTGTTTCTCTAACTTAGCTTTTTGTAGACAAGGGAGAGTGAAGCTCAATCATCTCTTAGAATATTTGTAAATAAATAGGTTGCCAAGTAAGTTGCAAATATTGTGCTATACTAAAATTCCTCTGATTTTAAATGCTGTTTATATTCCAGCTTTACATAGTGGCAACAAAATAGACAGTAAAGTAAGCGTAATACTCACTTAGAAAGTGAGTTGATAAAACCTACAAAAATGCTGGTTAATTACTAATTCATTACTGTATGGCAGAGACCCACAGCAGACCTCTAATTTCTTTGTATGTGGTTCCTTTCTGTTTTCGTTGATCTTTAGTAGGTATCTTGATTTTTTAGATTTGGATTAAAAATTAAACACTATGTATCACTGCCTTCCCAAAATAAAAATAAACTCCTTAAAATAATACATTTATATTAGCTTCTTAGCCCCTTCTCTGATTTGTGTTCACAATTCATATTCATATAGCACCTTTCAACACTCCTTCCCCCTAGTCCAAATTCTTTGGCAAAGACATTATCACATTGTAGGAAACTAAAGTCACTCTGCAGTTCCAGGTGAGCCCTTCAGAAATCAGGTATGATGTCTGGAGTCAATAGGTTTGTAGGGCCTTTGAACCAATTGCATTTCAGAAGTACCTCCATTTATACCAGCTTCCTCCACCTTAGGTTTAATCACTGAAATTTTATGGAAATAACCTTTATCCATTCAACAAAAATGTATTGAATACTTTCTTGTACTATTATTGTGCTAGTGTTGGATAAAATAGTAAATGAGGAAGTCACAGTTACTGATCATAATTGATGCTAGGATGAAAACAAATAGGGATGTCACCTACTTTAGATGAGGGGTAGTTGAGGAGCCCTGAGACTAAGCGTTGAGGGGACACCAGCTATTGAAGGAGCTAGCATTATGGGAGTGGGCAGAAGAGCATCCCAAGCAGAGGAAAGCACACATCCAGTGCCCCCAAGGAGGTGAAGAGCTTGCTTTATTCAAGACACTAAATTAAACCAAGGTGGCTGGAAAATACTGAGCAGGAAGGACAGTGCCAAAAGATGAAGGCCACCTGGACCAAGGACACCAGGGTTAAGCATATGGGTTTTGTTCTGAGTTTAGTGGGAAATCCTTGAAGGTTTAAGCAAGGGGTTAGCATTATCCAAATTACATTTTGAGTATGTCAATCTTGTTGCAATATGGAGAGGCTCTGGATTAAGACAGTTGGCAGCGGAGACAAAAAGAAGTGAATCTTGAGAGGCAGAATTCAAGGACTTGGTGACTGACTGGCTGTGGGTCAGGGAAAGGAAGGAGTTTGAAAGTTCTATTTGACTGAGATGAGCAAAATGGGGCAGGTGAGATCAGAGGCATGGGATCTGAGCTTCAATTCTGAACACATTTGCTATGCCTGAAGCATGGAGAAGGAGATAAGTCGGGACTTGGATGTGTGAGTGAGAGCTTGGAGGACAGTGAGACCTGAGGTCCGAGATGGAGAGATAACTTTGGAATTACCAGCATGTAGAGGAAATTTTAAACCCATGGGGATTCTCAGAAGAAGCCAAGAAAGGAGAGACCGTGATTGGATGAACCGTAAGGAACACCAGTGTTTGGAAATTGGGTAAAGAGCAGCAACCAACAAAGGAGACCAAGAAGGAACCTCAAGGAAAGTAGAAGACAATCCAGGGCCATATGGTGTTGAGGAAGCTGAGAAGGCAAGTAGGCGGGCCTTCCGGAGGAGGAATGGCAATTTGTGGTGTTGAGGAAGCCAAGAAGGCGGGTCCTCCAGAGGAGAATGGCGATTTATGGTGTTGAGGAAGCCGAGAAGGCAGGCCTTCCAGAGGAGAAATGCTGATTTATGGTGTTGGGGAAGCCAAGAAGGCGGGGCTTCCAGAGGAGGAATGCTGATTTATGGTGTTTGGGAAGCTGAGAAGGTGGGGCTTCCAGAGGAGGAATGCTGATTTATGGTGTTGGGGAAGCTGAGAAGGCGGGCCTTCCAGAGGAGGAATGGTGATTTGTGTTGAATGCTACTGAGAGTTTGCAGAAGATGAGGTCAGGGAGCGTCCTTCGCCTGTGACACTGTGGCAAAAGTCACGAATGACCATAATGAGCAGTTTTGGGGGATGCGTAAAGACAGGAGCCAGAGTTTTATGGGATGAAGAGTGAACAGAAGGGGAGGATAATTCCTTCTAGAGGGTTTGCTATGAAGAGAAAGAGAAATGCAGCAACCACAAGACAGTTCTTTAAAGATCGAAGGGCCAGAACTTGTTTTACACTCACAGGAAGGATTCCACAGAGATGAATTACCGGTAATTTGAGAGAGAGATCCAAGAACTGAAGAAGGGAAGTACTTTGGAAGGCAAGAAGGGCTCAGATCCAGCAGAGAGGGAGGAATCGGCCCCTAACAGGAGGAAGGCCACTTTTTGTGTTGTGAGAGGGGCTGGAGAGGGTGAGTGCAGGTGCAGGTGTGTTCATAGTTGCAGGGATGTGAAGAGGAGAGATGCAGTATGATGGCTCCACGAAGGAAGATGTCATTTTTCACTGCTGCGTCTTCCACATAGAAGAGTACTTGACACTTAGAGTGTGCTTAGGAAACATCTGTTGAGCACATCAGGACATCAGCCATGATTCCTCTCTCCTCAGTGAAATATAAAGTATGGATGGCTGGAGAGAGGCAGGTCCTACCTACATTGGTCTTAGGAACCAAAAAATTGGTGCAACTCCAGATAAAAGTAATAAATTCATTTTCTTCTATAACTACTTCACTGTTATCCTAATTCTACTAATTATCATAACTATTACCAACATTTATAAAAATATTTCTTACCCTTGCTATGTGAAAACTTCTATCTCCTATGCTTTTGTAACTATCCTCATTTCATCTTTTTTATTTCACCCCTTTTTTCGGCGGGTTGAGGGGAAGAAAGAAGAGAGAACATGTCACTGGAGAAACACAATACAATCTTGAGGAAGTTGTAAATGCCCATTTGAAGTTTGTGGTCCATTATTTAAGAGAAAGTCATCGTGCCATTGTGTCCAGCTGCAGGGCTACACGCCCAGGGAAGGTGGAGGTGATGTTTTCCAGGCGTGGAATTTTGCCATCAGATAAAGAAGACCACGGAAATCTGTGTTTTCCAGGCAATGCTTCTGGTGGTAGATGACAGAAGCTGTCAGACCAGGAAGGAAGGTGGGCCTGGAGAGGCCCATGGCTGGAGAGGAAATATGGGGCCAATTAATTAGACGTCTTGATGAAGTTGAAGAATTTAAGCAATGTTCATACTTTAGCAAGAGATTTGGAAAGATAAGAGGTGATCATCAGAAAGAGACATATTTGGAATTGGGATTTCAGAGGTGGTACAGTTTCTCAGGATGACAGAGCCTGGGGATGGACCGTGCGAATAGAAGGATGAGAAAAAGGTCAGCAGGATGAGAAGGTAAAACAGAAAGAATAGATTGATGGTGGCTTATTCATACAGGAGTTCAAGTCCCCAGAATGATGACAAGAATCGGAGAAAAGGTGAGAACAGCCTGAAGCTACAGTCTTCAAGAATGAGGGGCTGCATCCAGGAGATCAGGGGGCAGCAGTGAGGAGGTGAGGGTGAAGCATGGGTCTCAAAGGAGTGGTGGGTTTTGCAAGGGAGAGGAACCCAAGCATTTGGGGGCGTCGTTAAGGAGCCAAGGGACAACCATCTTCACCTCTGGCCTTGAAAGATGTGAATATGAAATGAAAAGCAGCCTTCACTTGAAAAGGTTGCAAGGGAGATGGATCAGTTTCAGTTAAGTCAGTGTGGACAGGGAAACCTTTCAAAAGGCTGATTATACAGGGCAGTTAGTTTATCATGAACAGGAATTTCAGGGGACACAGAAAAAAGGCTTAGGAGAGAGGGAAGCATGGAAATTGGCTGATATTAGGAAACGTATGGACCCATATGGGACTGACAGTTTGGGTGATAAGAATGACAGGCAGCTTGAGCCTCTGAAGCAATGATGTGGGGCATGAGGGATGCATTGTGATGATCTTTGGAGGGACGTAGGTGGACATCCAGAGCACCTGGCTGTTGTTACCTGTGCTCAGGTGTGCCTTGGCATTAAGGCAGCTTCTCGGCTTTCACCCCAAAAGGCTTCCTCAGTGTTAGAGGCTTGTCCATTTCAGATAGTTATAAATATGAAGCCATCTAATACAATCCACATGATTTTAAAAAATATTTTGGTTCATCCAAGTTCTAATTAGATCATTAAATGCTCAGTGGAGCTAACCCATTTCACTGCCCCACCCGTAGCCTTACACAAAACTTCCAGACAATGACATGTCACCCTTCCCTCAGAATCACCTAGAAACCATCGCAGTTGCTTCAGGACTGGACAAAGAGCTTCTAGAGAATAAGCAGAAAGAAGAGAGGTGAAAATACTGAATTCAGGGAAAGAAAAAGACTAGGGAGCCAGGAAGGAGGATGGTGGCAGTGACCTGTGCCCCAGCTCCTTTCAAGGAAGGCAGAGGCAACGCTCATTTATCTGAGGGGCAAGGCTCTTGGATTTGCAGATTTAGGTGCTACCCTAACACTGTTTCTCTGGGATGAGAGCAAAGAGTGAAATAATTTACAGCCACAGACAACCCTGCTTTCTGCAGTGCGCTCCATCAGGAGACGCTTCACCACCCTGTTTCCATAGTCTACAGGAGTCTCTGAAGTCACATCAGCTGTAGGAACTCTTGTGAGGAAAACAGCCTTTGTAGCCCTCCCCTGAAAGGGGAGCTACACTGGAAGTGGGTGCTGCTCCGTGTCACACATGGAGAGGGGACAAGGAAGCCAGTTGATTTGGATCTCTTTTCCAGAAGATTCCACAACTACTAGAAGATGAGATGCTTTTTGGCATTGGGTCACCTGAAATATCTGGAAAAAAAAAAACCAAAAACTTCTTAAACTGTGCTTCCGGATATGATCTGTTGCTTGTTTTTTTTGTTTACTGGTTTTTTTTTTTTTTTTTAGGTCTTGTTTGATGTTGCCTCTTTGCATTTGATTTCAGCCATCTTGATAGTTTTTTCTATGCAATTAACAAGGTCCAGCCCTTTCTCTAGCCAATTCAC
This sequence comes from Homo sapiens, assembly GCF_000001405.40. Taxonomy (NCBI): domain Eukaryota; kingdom Metazoa; phylum Chordata; class Mammalia; order Primates; family Hominidae; genus Homo; species Homo sapiens. The sequence continues at coordinate 161,558,949 of NC_000006.12, read as the reverse complement.
TTCATCAGTAGCTGACAGATGTTCAGGGATGAAGAAAACATTATTAGCAACAGAATAGAGAAGAAAAACAGCAGGGTCATGGGGGCCACCACTTAGGCTGTCACAGATGCTCTCAGGCTAACTACCTGCAAATGAAAAAAAAAGGAAGATGAAGATTACTGACAATCTAAGGAGTGCTTCTTTTTTGAAAAAAATTTCTAATGCGTATAGAAAATGGGACATTATCTGCATAGCAAGGAGAAATGGCTAAATCATAAGCTGATGTTCCTCTCTGACGTTATTATAGTTTTTTTAATCCAAAGAGGAAGTTCTATAATAAACTATTTTTCATTAGTTTCTAAAAGATGGCAGAGGAATAGTGAGCTGAATTTTCTTTTTTTTTTTTTTGAGAAAGTCTCATTCTGTTGCCCAAGCTAGAGTGCAGTGGTGTGATCACAGCTCACTGAAGCCTTGAACTTCTAGGCTCAAATGATCCTCTCACCTCAGCCTCCTGAGTAGCTGGGACTACAGGTACATGCCACCATGCCCAGGTAATTTTTTTTTAATTTTTTGTCGAAATGGGGTCTTGCTGTGTTGCCTAGGCTGGCCTCAAACTCCTGGTCTCAAACGATCCTCCCACGTCAGCCTCCCAAAGTGCTTGGATTACAGACATGAGTCACTATACCTGACTGAATTTTTTTTAATAGAAGGGAATAAGAGAAAGAGGCAGCTGGGTATTGTGGAAAGCGTGGTCTTGAAAGTTTCAGCCTTAGTTCTAATGCAGCACTGTGGGTTCTCTGCCTGTGTGGATGTCAGCAAAAGATGGCACTTCTTTGTGGCTCCGAGGCCACATCCATCACTTCACAGAGTGGACAGAGAATTAACCGAGCAGCAAAGTGTCGGTGCCGTGGTTTGGTTCACTGCAGTAGCTCAGTGAACAGAAGCCTGATCACGACCCCTCTGCTCTAGGAGGGATTGAGGGAGAAGCCCAGGGAGGGAGTCCCCGAAGTGCTTTTGGCTGAGATGTAACAAAAGCTATAATTTATGGAGTGGTGTGGGGAAGCAAAGGAGACCCAAGAGCTGTACCTGAGTGCCCCCAAAAGGATACTCTGGGAAACACTATGACAGCACAAAATCAACCTCCTTAGCTTGGAGGACCTGAAAGGGGGCCACATAGCTCCTGGATGGCTGGCAAGCATTGACTCATTTTGACAGAACATGTGCCATTTTTCTCAGACTTGAGTTTTACCTCGGATCCCTGTACTTCACATTTCTTGTAGTTTTTAAAATTAGATTCTTTTCTTCTTTTTCTATGAAAGCATGCAAATTAAGCATCAGAGTGAAGCAGCCTGTTCTCTCCTACAGAGGAGAGGCCTTTTGGATGGTGTTTCAGTGGTGGGGGATGTTTACGCTTGGTTTCCCCATAGCCACACTTCTCAGGTGACTACCCATGTTCCTTTAATGTACTTAACATGCAGTCAACAGCCAGCAAGAAAGGGGAAGTTCACTGGCCCTTCTGGGGCTTGAACGTGCAACCGTTCCTTCATTATAGAACACTTTTCTACCCAAATACAGGTCTCCTAACCTGCAGACTAACAGAATACAATATCTATTTCATTATACTCTCCCATGACCCATTATTTAAATTCTTAAAATACGAGTTTATTGAAACTTCTATGAATTTTATGCTTTAAAATGAATACTTTTTGTTCTTAAGAGAATCCATGAGCATTCACATAAAGACTGAATAATTTACTCCCCAAAGAAATAAAATAGAAAGTATAGCAGTGAGTCAGGATTCTACCTGCATAACGCATACTAATGAAATGTATTTTTTGCTATAATCTGATAAAATACAGGAGAAAAACAGTTATTGTTTTCCTTAGGTTCAGAGTAGTATTCTTTGTGAATATTTACATTTATTTTCAAATATTTTTGCAAATATTGTACAATAAATTCAAAATTATTTTAGTTGTCTGTGGATTATTCACTTTATGAAAGCATATCTAGAAATTTGCAAACTATTTTTAATAGCTTAAAACTGTCAGTATAGTTTGACATGTAAATATTAGCATATCTACACACACACAGATGCTCACTGTGCATTCCATAGACAAAACATGCATGAGTGATTTTTCCACTTTTGAGCTCAGTTGAGGGTGGACTCTATATAAACCCAGTTCACATTATAAATTAATCACATTCCTCCAAGTTAGTCTGTTTATAAAATGCTATTCAATATTGATAAGTAAAAAAGCCCTTGGAACCAATACAAGAATATCAAGGGAAGTGTTTGTTCCCTTCCACCAACTGGGGTAGATTTATTAGTTACTTTACCATTATCACACATATTTTATACTGAGATAAATACAGTATTCTGTATTAGTGCTAGTTTGTCACAAATCTCCATTAATGCGCTTTCAACTTCGTGCCAGTAAATGGTTAAAAGGATCTATGAAAACTGTGGATTATATCTCGAAGGTAACTTAGTAAGGATCTTTGCTAATGATATGTAATTACATGACTAAATTATTTCCTTAGTATATTAAGCTTTCTACAAATACTAGCACATTCTTTGTTCCAGGTCAGTGTTTTTCTTATAAATATCACAATGTTAATTTTGAAAAGTAATACTTTCAATAGGCATATTTCAGGTATTGTGTGTACTTTTTAATCATCAGAAATTCCCAGGCGCATATGTTAAAATATTTGTCTTCCTTTGAAAAAGGAATTGTATGCTCAAATGCTCTTGAGTTTATCATAAACAAAATAAATAACAATAATTTTTAATAAATTCCCTAGCTAATGAATGGAAAGGGGGACATAATTTTTAAAATTCCATCAATATTTGAGACCACTATGAATGCAGTCAACAAGAATTTCTAAATTGTTATTGGACGTTGTCCATACATTAACTTCTTCCGAGATAAAAGCTATTGTCATAGTAATAAAATTACCTAACTAAATTAAATAGACTAGGTGATGTGTTGTCAAATGAGAAAATAGTCAATTACTTAAGAGCAACTTATTTTAAAAAATTATTTTTGTAGGTAAAATAATCCTGAGTTACTGTTATTAATTTCCATTGCTATTGATTATCTTATTAGAATTATTTAATTAATTGTCACTTAATGGAGTTAGATTTTATTAATTTATAATTATTTACTGTCCACAAACTATTGACAAGATACTATGCCAAACTCAGGCCATGTGGATGCACAAAAGGATAGAGGAATGAGTGCAAAAGTCTGTAATAAGGTTTAAAGGGCTTGGAGCACTTTAGGTCTCATGCACTCACCAGATTTACCCAGGCAAAGGCCCTCCTCAGGACAAAGCCCCACACTGAGCAGAAATTTGCTCAAAATAGAAGAGAAAAAAAGGAAGGAGATAGTCCGGTTAAAAATGGGGTAACAGAGTTGTGAGATTGCAGAAAGGAAGCCCCCATATTTTTGAACACTGCCTAAAACACCAGAACAGAAAAGTCTACAGTTTTTCTGAATCCTACCTCTTTGTAAAATTTCAGGAGAACTAATTTCATGTAAAACTGAGCAACAGCAAAGGAACAAGGTAAAACTCTAACAGAAAAGAAGCAAGGTTCAGTCCCGTACAGGGCTATTAAAATGATGCAGCGAATGTAGAACAAAATAGCATCCTTATGGACAATGGAAGAATGCCTCAAATCAAAGGAAAGCCAAAATAACCTTTTCAAGGTGAACCAAGTTATTAGGAAATTATTAGGAAATTACACAAATACATATAATAGATATTGTCTTAAAAGAAATAGAAAATGAAAAGTGAAGGAAATTCTAAAAAACACAAATAAGAAAATTAAAAAGGGATTTGAGATAAGCTGTTGGAATTAGAAGTGAGGTAAAGAAGATCCAATATATGTATACTAGAAATGACATAAGAAAAACATCAAAGCAACTGAACAAAGTGAACCCTAAAAACTAAATTCAGTACAACTTTCCTGACACAGTATGCTTGTGAAAATTGATCCAGAAATGACCAGCACCAAGATATACTCTAACAAAATTCCTGGATTCTAAAGAAATGGAAAAAATTCCTTGGGCATCTAGGCAAAAGAGGGCAATTAATTTACAAAGGAAAAAAACATTATTTTCAGGCTTATCCATAATATTTTATACCAGAAGAACATGAAGTAAGAGATTTCAGATACTCAAGGGGGAAGTATGTATAAATATAAGTGTGTATGTATATATATATATATATATACACACACACACACACACACACAATCCCTGTATGTATATCAGGATTGTATATTCCTTATATGTATACTGTAAGAAACTATAATTCCATATATTCTTTTTATGTATAATATAAAGATTTTTTATGCAGCCAAACTCATTATCAAGAATAAAAGCCCTAAATAAACTGTTACTATGGAAGAACTCAGTGACTGTATTTCCCAGGAACTCTTCCTGAGGAATTTACTAGAGAACAAGATTCAAGCAATCAAAATTACTGGGAAAACATCAACCATCAACATAAGTACTGATGGTTGTGCCTGCATGCGTGTGTGTGTGTGTGTGTGTGTGTGTGTATAGAAGTAAGATAACATGAAGGTTAAGAGAAAGACAGCATAGTTCGAAATGGCCGCATGTGTTAACAGTGTGGATACAGTATAATTATTTTAAAAATTTTGTGGGAGAATGAGTAGAGCATATGAAAACATATTTGAAGTTTTCAGAAATCATAGGCACAGTGATGGTATTGTTATTCTGAAATTGTGTAATGTGAGAAAAAGCAAATGAGCAATTATGGAATATTGTAATTATGTCATCTTCTGTGTTCTTGAGAACCAGTGTGGAAGAAAGGAGCAACAGAGGTAAAACAGAAAATGTTAAGTAAAAACCTTGTAGTTCTGAGATACCTGTCCTTCAAAGTGAGAACTGAGAGGACTTAGAAACAATGACTAACTTAGGAGCACTGAACATGCCTAGCACCCAATTTATGGTCTTGAAATTTTTAAGAAGCAGTGCTTCTTTTAAAAGTAGGCAATTCCTGGCCTGGAGCAGGAAACGTGTAAGATGAACCTGAGTAATTTTCCATAGCAGATAGCGAGGAAGCTATTGAATGGTGTCAGGATCATGTTATGGAAACTCATCTTGATAGGATTGCCATTGGCCAGAGATGAGATAGTTGTGCATCAAGAAGGAAATCACTGCATTGAGTTAAAACACACTTAACACATAATATGTTTAAGTTTATGAGTTTATAAATGTTCATTGAAAAAAAAGATTCAAATATTTTATCCTGCCTTTCCTATTCATACAATACCACTGGATAACCAAAAAATAGAAGTATTCTAACTAATAAATGAAGGAATGTTTGAATTAAAATATCATTTTTCAATCCCAATAAATTAATCTAGTTACTGAATATTAATGACTGCTAAGCTTTCAAGAAGAGAGAAAGACATTATGATCTTCCTGATAGAAGTACAAAACACCATCTATGAAGTAGTATTACAGAGAGACAGAAAGAAGGAAGAGGAGAAAGGAGGACAGAGAGATAGAGGGAGGGACCAAAAAAGGAGGAAGGGATGAGAATGAAGGAGGAAGGAAAAAAGGAGGAAAAGAGAGGGGGTAGGGAGAGAGGAAAGAAGGAAGGAAAGAAGCTGAATTAAATGAAGCCTATAGACCAATTATCAATTTATAGGAAAAAAATTATCCAGGTGCATTATAAACTGCAACATTGGATACAATCAGCAAAATGAAGACTGGGAAACTCTGTAGGTCACATGTCCTGCTTTCTTCAACAGATAAATTGCAAGGAAAAAAAGACAATGGAGGGTGATGGACTAAACAACACATCTTCAAAACAGACAAAATGAACTGTAGTGTTTAGAAATGAACCTTGAGTGATAAAGAAAAACAAGAGAGTGATTACAACTTTGGGAGGCTGAGGCAGGCAGATCACGAGGTCAGGAGATCGAGATCATCCTGGCCAACATGGTGAAACCCCGTCTCTACTAAAAATACAAAAGCTAGCTGGGTGTGGTGGTACACACCTGTAGTCCCAGCTACTCGGGAGGCTGAGGCAGGAGAATCGCTTGAACCCAAGAGATGAAGGTTGCAGTGAGCCGAGATTGCGCCACTGTACTCCAGCCGCGTAACAACGAGACTCCGTCTAAAAAAAAAAAACAAAAAACAAAAACAACAACAAAACCATGGTGTCTTTTAGGAAGGGGTGAAGGTGTTGTGATGAGAATAGATACATGGAGGGCTTCAGGCGGACCTGGTAAAGTTCTGTGTCTTGGCCTGGGTAGTGTTTAAAAAGTTGGTCACTTTATAATGTATTAAGCTTATTCTATGTGATATTTACAATAAAAAGTTTTTTGTTTTTTGTTTTTTGTTTTTGTTTTTTTTCAATGTGGAAGGATTTGGACAGGTCAAGACAAAAAAGTAGGTTGAGCAGTTCGGTGATGCAGAGCTGAGGGAGAGGGGCTTGGAGGATCACCGTGAGATCATTCACAGTCATAGGCGGAGGTGAACAGAGCTGAGGGAGAGAGGCTTGGAGGATCACCGTGAGATCATTCACAGTCATAGGTGGAGGTGAACAGAGCTGAGGGAGAGGGGCTTGGAGGATCACCGTGAGATCATTCACAGTCATAGGCGGAGGTGAACAGAGCTGAGGGAGAGGGGCTTGGAGGATCACCGTGAGATCATTCACAGTCATAGGCAGAGGTGATCGAGAGATGTCCCGCTTCCTTTTACAATTCCGGCAAAACTGCAACCAAACTTAAATCCACCATTCTTTCTACTTTGCCTTTGCAGCTCAGTGTTGGTGCAGAGAAACAGAAGACTCTGCTCACGAGTTTTCCTTTAAATTCATCATCTCTGACCTCAGGAGGGCCTGGGTGCCGCCCAGCAGTGATACCGACTTCCTCCGCCCTCCCCTTCCTTCATCACTCATACGTTTCTTCTTCCTCAAATCCCAGTACCCCTCTGCCTGTCTGCACCTGGGCCTAAGCACTCAGCCGGGCCTCCTCTTCCTAAGGATGGCTGCCTGCTCTCTGAAGGCCAACCCTCCACACATCCTTTAGATCCTCCCCTCCAACCTACTCAAGGACAGAGCTCTTTCTCTGGCTTAAACTGTCCATCTGCGCTTCTCGTCTCAGTCCTGCCTTCAGCATAGTATCATATCGTTATTTCTCCATTTTCGAAAATCCTTTACAACCCCAGAGTCCTATCCAATGGCCTCCCCGATCTCTGCTCCCTTTTACTGGCAAACTCCTTTAAAAAAGTGTCTATTCTCACTTCTTTGAATTTCTCTCCTCCGAGTCTTTCTGGACTCCACTCCAAAGGCTTTTGGCTCCATGACTCCACTGAAATGACTTTTCAAGACCGCAATGGCAGCCACACACCCAGCTCCAACCACAGCTCATCATGGCAGCCTCCTTGAGATGTGTTCCCTTGGCTTTCGGGACACCTGAGTCCTCCTCAGTTTTCACCTGCCTCATAGGCTGCTGCTCCTTAGTCTCCTTTGCTGGTGTTTTCTCACCTTCCCTGCAGAGGTTGGATAATCACATCTGACCTCATAACATGGTCAGAGTGTCATAGATCTAACCTAGTGTCGAGCTTTACGAATAATTTCAAGGATGCAGGTAATCCTGAGACTCAGGCAGGACCTGGAGACGTTCAGGTCGCCAGCGCGCCTCCCCAGGTCCTTCCTTGGCATTTGGGGCTGTGCTGTGGGCAAGGGTTATGTATGAAGCCTCTAAGAAATCTATGCAGTAATCACTCACAGGCAATCTCTCAGTTACATAAACTGTCTCATCATTCATTACCTGATGAAATATCTTCATTGTATCCTCTGGTAATTGCACAGCTTATGACACTGTCCAGAGAACCTTACCCCATAAATTCAGAGATTCTAGTTTGTTTGCCATCCGAACTCTTAGACCTCTTTTCTGGTAAAGGTGCTGTATGTGTATGCCATTCACACGTTTACAAGGAGGCCAGGTCATCTTTTTCTTTCTTTCCTGGGGACAGAAGAATGAGAAAATGGATTAGAGGCTCAGGCTAATGACTTCAAAATTTGTACCCAGGACCCATGCCTTTCTCCTAAACTACACTTATTTATTCAATTAGATACTGGACATTTTGACATCGCTGTGTAATAGCTTATCAAACTGAACACGAGCACAATAGAAATAATTATTTCATGCCTCAACTCCCTACACACACACACACACACACACACGTGCACACACACACATACCCTTTCTTCTACCACAGTTGTCCCCACCCCTACCCGCCTCCTGTCTTCTCAGGAAACGGGGAACTACACTCCACTCACAGTTGACTCCTCTTTTCCTCTCACACCAGGCATCCAACCTGACTGAAAATTCTGCAACTTCTCCCTTTAATTTATACCCAGAATTCAAACACTCATCCTACCTCCAGCACTACCTTCCCGGTTCAAGCCAGTGCCATCTTTTGCATAGATGTTGACATAAGCTCCTAGCTTACGTCATAGATGTTGACATAAGCTTCTCTGCTTCCTGCCTACACCCTGGCCCTCCAGAGGGTATTCCGAACATAGCAGCCAGGTGGATGTCTTTAAAATATTAGTCAAATTATGTCATGCCTCAGCCTCAGAGTTCTGCAGTGGTTCTGGTATCTTCCAGAATAACACCCAGGGTTCTGAAAGCAGCTGTCAGGGAACTACATATTCTAGATCCTCACAAACTCTCCAACTTCACCTTCTGTTTTTTTCCCTCCTTGTTCTCTCTGCCTCCGCCCCACTGCCCCCCTTGTTGTACCCTGAACAGCCAACCACATCAGCACACTGGGGCTCTGGCCCCTTATAGTATTCTCTGCTTGTCTGGAATGCTTATTCCCCCAGGGATCCATGTGACTTGCATTTCTAATCTCCTTCAGACATTTGCTTAAAGACACCTGCTTTGTAAGGCATTCTGTAATCACCTCTTTAAAATTGAAATCTCCACCTTCTTTGGACTCTCCCTCTTCCCTGTTGATTATTTTCTTCCTCACTTAGCACCATTGGAAATCCTAGACATTCTAACCTCTCGGTATTGACTGTTACAGTGCTGTGGATGAAGGCGGAGAAGTTTGTTCATTCACTGCTGTATCCCCAGCGCCTCGATAGAGTCTGGAATGTAGTAGGCTCTCAATAAATGTTGCATTATTTAATTAATAATTGAGCAAACCTATTTGACTTGATCTGAGTTTATATTACAAATAATGTAAGATCAAAAGTGTAGGGCTGCCACAAAGAAGACCTTGAAAATGGTCTGATGGAGTTTGGAATTTATTTGCAGGCTGGGGAAACCATTAAAGGAAATTGAGCAAAACGGTACCAGGAAGAAATGACATCAGGGACACAAGAAATCATGCTTTAAGAATAAGAATAATGATAAAGGGAAAATGTGATTGTTTAACATTAGTCTTCTTCTAGCTCATTGATATTGTGTGGGCTGCCAATATTATGAGGTGGAATGCTGGGCCGATTTTCAAAATAAATATAAAACCTTGTTGAATTTTAAATAGAGGCATGACAATATATTGCTTTATAAGATTGATAGCGATGTATTAAAAGTGTTCATCATTTAATACATAAATATGTTCCTCAAAATGTATATGAAATAAGATTGTTAAAATACAGTTGGTAGAAGCGATCTTATAAAATACAAAACTTTGGAAAATCTATTTTCTGAAGACAAAAAAGCAAAAAGTAAACACACTTATATGTCTTGCCAGTTGAATTTGGTAGACTTTTACTGCATTGAACCATATTCGTCCTCCCCTATCAACCCCGTGGCCCTCTCCCTCCCCCTACACACACACACACACACACACATGCATTATTTTACTGAAACTGGTTAAGCAAGAAATCCCATGCACTGTAGCTCCTAACCCTTTGGCTGAAATTTGCAGTCAGTTTGAAAGCTCAATCTGCTTTTTGGGTTTTGCAGTACAACCGGTACCAGCAGTATGGTGCAGAGGAGTGTGTCCTGCAGATGGGGGGCGTGTTATGCCCCCGCCCTGGCTGTGGAGCGGGGCTGCTGCCGGAGCCTGACCAGAGGAAAGTCACCTGCGAAGGGGGCAATGGCCTGGGCTGTGGGGTGAGTACTGCCCACACCCCTGGAGCGGTGTGTTCCTGTCCTTGTTTGCTTTTGCACATGGGCTGGGATTATATTTTTATTTTATTTTCATTTTCCCTTTGGACTTAGACATCTTTGAACTTACATATAAGAAAATAGATTTTAAATTCCTTTATAGGACTCCAGATTTGAAAATTTATGTATTTATTTTGGTGAAAACAGTTATATGAAGATTTTCTGCTTTGGTTGCTTATGGAAGTATTTACTTTAAGATGCTGTGAGCCACTAGGCCAGACTTTTAAACTTTTCTCCCAGCACTCAGCTGATGCAGAGCAAAAATTTATTCTTTCTTCAGAGTTGCCTTTAAGTAGACAGGAGTGAAGGAGAAAGAATTCTCCATCAGTGACGTCTTAGTGACATTGTTTGCCTGAGTATTTCAAGAAATAAAATGAAGGTTAATGTGGAAAACTTGAAATGTTATTATGTCATAAAAATCATTTTAAGTAGAGATGAACAAAACTAATGGTGTCTCTTATGGAAGCAGAATAAGAAATGTGGAAAATGTTTGTTCTAAGAGGTCAAACCATGTGACCTGGCCGGCTTTTCAAATGAATCTATGGCTGCAAGCTGATGGCTCAAGGGGGGAAGAAGCATAACTCAAACACAAAAAGGCTTACTAAATTATAGGTTAAAATGACAAATGGATAATAATCCTGATATTAAATTTCATGCAGCCTGGAAAAGTGAGAAAGTGTATGTGCATATAAAAGTCTATTGAATTTTGATGAGAAACATTTCTTTTAAAATTGCAACTTCATGAGGAGTTTTGTGCAAGAAGGAGCACAGATAGCAGAGTTGTATTAGCCAGTCTTGATTTGGGGCTGAGCACTGTAAGTCATCTAGAAATAAATTAGCATTGGTTCCCCTTAGTAAAGCTTCCTGTATGTCATGCAGTGGGGCTCATAAAATCCTGGGTTGAGCAATGGAGTAGAGGAAGTGGAAGTTGAAAAATAATGAGATACCATGGTGCCTAAGTGGAAAGAAATACCTCTGGATTCATAATCGTGATTGCATTAGAATGAAAACTCAAGTGTTTACTCTCCCTGGAGACGATGGAAATCAGGACACACTCTCCAGCCTTAGTCATTATCATGTGCTGAATTATCTGCAATGATTGTGTGTGGCCTCAGCAGGTTGCCAACCTCTGGGATCAGAATGCTAGCAAATGTTGTCTTTTAAAATGAGCTTTTAATGAATTGTTTTTAACTACTGGCTAAATTATGTGCTTCTGCCTGCTAATTGCCTACTGTGGTTCCATCCTCTAAAGCTGGATTTTAAGATTTTAACTTTTCTTAGGAGGTAGAGACTTTTGCTGGCCCATCTTTTGCATTTGGTTGTTGACCTTGCTTTAAGAATGTTGAAGGGTTTATGTAATGTGAAATCTTGAATATCTTTATCTTCCCTTTTTTATACAAGTAAATTATAAGTAAATAACATACATACTTAAGCTGCAAATCATGACAAATTATTTTAGAAGTGAATCAAAATGCTGTAATGTCTTTGGATTAAAAGAGTCTGCAGGCAACTTTACTTAAAGGAGGATAGTTATGTTCTCAAGGTTTCTTTGTCCTTTGGCAATTGTAGGTAGCGTATTCTTAATTTATCTTAATTTGTTTCGATTTGTTGGTTTTGGAGGTGTGTTTGTTGGTTTGTGTATTAGTTATCTATGACTGCATAGCAACTCCAAATTCTAACAATTTAACATGATAGAAATGTATCATCTCACAGTTTCTGAGAGTCAGGAATCACCCGTGAGTGGCTTTGCTGGGTAGTTCTGGCTCAGGGTTCCTCCTGAGTTTGCAGTTTAGCAGGGTCACAGTTATCTGGAGGCTTAACTGGGGCTGGAAGATCTACTTCCAAGGTAGCTCATTCACATGACTGTTGGCAAAAAAAGTCCTCAGTTCCTCACTGGCTGTTGTCAGAAGGCCACAGTTCCTCACCACATGGCCCTTGTCTTAGGCTGTTTGTCCCCATGATGGCAGCTGGCTTTCCCCAGAGCAAGTTGTCCAAAAGAGAGAACAGAGAGAAGCTACAGTGCCTTGTAGGACCAAATCCCCAAAGCTGCACCTGTCACTCTCACTTTATTCATTAGAAGTGAGATACTAGATCCAGCTCACTCTCAAAGGGAAGGGAGTTGGGCTCCATCTTAAAGAGTGTCAAAGAATTTATGAACGTATTTTAAACCACCACAGTTTGCAATTTGAAGAAGCTGAAAAAAGAACAGAGAAGTGATTTTCTAAAGGATGCACTGAACTGTATGCCTTCCTTTCCCTCCCTGTCTTTTTGCCCCAGTCTCCATACACTTTTGCAAGCTTATGTCCATTCCCATTGCTTTGGCTTCTCAGCAGAGATAAATTGATTTCATCATTGCCCTTTGTCTTCAAATCCCAAACTTTCACAGAAGGATATTCACCTAACTTGAATGCTAAAGGAATTCCACAGTGATTTAAAAAGGGTGGCGTTGAATGTGTGAAGTTCAAACCCTGGCTTCACAAACTACTTGTGGTTTTCATCTTTCTCGGTTTCCTTATCTCTAAAATAGGGTATATATGAGCAACTCTGTATAAAACTATTGTGCATACTAAATGAGATAATAAGTGTAAAATACTTAGAATAGTTCCTGGCACAGAGTTAAGTGCAGATTTATTTAATATTTAATCAAAAGCTTAATGAATATTTATCCAAAGCTCACCCAAAAACCCAACATTCAAGGAAGATTGCTTACATGGCATTCATTGGATATACTCTTCCAAATAGTCTAGAATCCAGGATGTAGTCAGATCTACGGCAGGAAACTGGGCACCTAGACCTTACTATTTTTAGCCTTTCAAATAATTGCTTTTCCTAAATACTACTTTGCCACCATGCCATTTGTTTATATTGTGATCGTTACACAGGAAATGTGATGCCTGTGGTTCAGGACATCCCAACAGACTTTTCCACAAGGAACCATGGTGACTATTCAAGTCTGATCTGAGTACCAGGCACATTTATGCTTGTCCTGAGGAAAGTTGCCTTTAAGGATGTTAAACCAGCTGATAAGGTTTTCCTCTGACAGTTGACTGCTAGAAAATCTAAAGCTACATCTGTGGGCTCCCTATAGCATATATAGAGGTCATAAACACAGTGGATTTGGAAACTGGTTTCCTGGCTTTACTTGTTTCCTTCTTTCTCTTCCCCTTTTCCTGATACATGTTGTTTTGCTGTGGTTTGTATAACCTTGTAAGCTGCCCATCTTTTCTGGGTTTAAGGAGTGTAATGGAAAGCCATTGTCTGGAAGAAATTGTGGTTAGATTATGTCATTTCAGAAGTAGAACATGGCCAAATACATAAAAGTTAGAAGAAGGTGAATCTCTTTTTACTCTTTGCTCTCACAGTATGGACAACGAAGAACAAAATAAGCTGCCTCAGGGAGAAGTGAGTGCCTCATTCAATACATCGTTCAAGGAAAAGTCATTGGTAGCAAAGCTATAGAAGAATTACAGAGTTCCAGATGTGGAAAAAGCCCTAGACGTCATTAACTCCAGTGATTATCAGGATGTGGTTCACAGATTTATTGTAAGATGCCTGTGAATTCACCCGTGCTTAATTTTTTTTTCCCTCAATTATCAAGATAGAAAAAGTACAACTCTTACCATGTGGGTATGCAAGAAATGTTAGCTGTTACAAAAAAAATCGCGTATAAAAAAGTTGAAAACCAAATTCTCTGTCATTTGTGGGATTTAAAATTGTTCGGAGCTAGACACCCATGTGTTGAGCTCTGGGCTCCAGAGGATTCTAATCTTCTAGTCATTTCACCCACGACCATGTACCTGGGTGGTCTTCCGCACAGCTGTGGTTTCTGTTGTATATCCTTTCCATTTGAAGGCTTCTGTGTCTTTAGTTCAGCTTCTGTAAAATAGGTGCTATAGTTAGTATTTATGACTCTTTTGTTCAAACATATGGGAATGTCCATTGGAAAATCAGATTCCAGACACTTTGCTCCACTGTGTCACAGGCTTATCTGTTCCCCGAGGAGCAATGTACCTTAACTAATAAATGAAGACAGGGATTTCCATTTAAGTGATGATGTCAGTCCACCTAGGAAAGGCCTGATAAATGTGGGGTGGATCCAGTAAATTTATTACCATTATAAAGAATTATTTGAAAGTACTACCTCCCAGAATTCAAGCTGCAGTGTTACAGTGGTTTCCTGTCTTTATATTCCTGTCCTAAGCCTTTTCATTCTTCTTGGTGAATCATGTATTTGGTGTTTAACATTCATCAAATGTATGAATGAATGAATGAATGAATGAATGAATGAATGAATAAAATAAATGGTTGAGTGAATCTTAATAATCTAGGAGTAATATCAACAAACTATTACTTTTATTTTCCAATATTAATCATCATTTATCCCAGTATTAGAACTGCTTACCTTGCCCCAACAAAGAGCTCTTTGAAAAATACGTAAGCACCTTTATATACTTATACAATATACAGTGTTTTAATAGCACACATAGTATATAATTCAGAAAACCAAAATAACACTATGTTCAGGGATCCACAAAAAGTCCATTAGAAACCTGAAAGTACTGCAGAATTTACAGAATTGGTGTGCTCTATCAAAGGCTACATACACGGCCAAGTAAAGAGTACATTCTGATATGTAAAATGTCTTACTCTTGGGAGAACTGAGATTTCAGTTTTGACTCAGCACAGAATATTTTTACATAGATAGAACGCAGCAGAGAATGTATTTTGGTACCAAATACTAGTCTAGCCTCACTCTGCTAACCCTAGATCCTATTTTTACTACTGCTCATAAAAAAATTAATTGATTTCCTAAAGAATTCATGTTATGCATTATTCTTTTTTTCTGGCCTTATTGCTATTCATCAGAACTATCTCACAAACTTTAATGACTCCGATGCAAAATGCTGACGTGTTTAGTGCTGGAAAACAGCAACAAAATATGGAATACATTATACTCACTGACCTGGGAATGCAGAAAGCTATGGCAATCAAACCTTCTGAGTTCTCTATAAATAAAACATCTTTATCTTATTTGATATTATCTTGGGGTATTACATGTCTGGGTGATAATTTATTAAAATAATGATTTGAAGTTGGATAAGGAATTTTCTGTTTTTAATTAGAAATCCAGAAACAAAATGTGGCAACTGCAGAAAAATACACATTTAAATGAAAATCGAATTTCAAAAATCATATTAGTGACCATAAGTTAAGGAAATGCGATAGAATTTCTTAAGGCATCTAACAGTCACTCTGTCCTTAAACAAACACCATGCTGTGTCGCTCGGAGGCAGGTTTGTCAGGGAACTAATGAGGCATTCACCTTGGGCTCCTCACTTGCATGGACCCTTTCCAAATCCTCTTAACCATGTTCATCTTCTTGCATTGGTTTTCTTAAAAAGGGTTTCGAAAATTATAAAAATGAAGTTGTAAAGCCTCCCTCAAATGTGGTTTTAGACCTGTGCAAATACAGGATATGACCTACTTCGTGCAAAGAAACGTGTATATGTTTTTGGTGAAAATGGTTATTTTGAACGACTTATCACAACAGCATTAAAATACTGTTGGAGGTTTTAGTGAAATGAGAGTCTGAACCTCATTTTCAGCCTTTAACGTAGGAAAGGAGTCAATGAAGATAAATTATGATGATACCTACCCTTTTACTCAAAGATTTAACTAATTATTGAGTTTAAAATCCAAATTAACAAATAGATGTGAAGCTCTTTTTTCAATAGGTGGACCTTGGAAAGAGAAAACATGTAGATGATCAATATTTAATAATAAAAGGAAAAAAGAAAATGGTTACTTTTCTTATTCAAGCCAATTTTAATTTATTTTTGTAAAAATATGTAATTTCATTAAATTATGCTTAGATATTTTTTAAACCATATTGAGTTTTTTTAAGACTAGAGATTAAAATCTAGTCTCCAAATATATGATGTTTTCAGGGAGACATCAGAAAGAACAGGTGTTTCTCAGGATGACTAACTGTGGGTTCATGAGCCTTCACTCCAGCTGTCCCCATGTAAGTTTGCCTCAACCGCCTGGACACTCCAGCACATAGAGACTGGAATCAAATCTTGTTGGTACTTTAGGCTTTGATATACAAGATGTTCTTCATCAAAGAGCATTTTAAAAAAGAAAGTTGGTGTTATGAAATGTCAAAAATATGCAGTCCATGTTTATTTGACATGTGTCCAAAAATCTAATTTAAACTCTAAGATCAGCTCATTTGCAGATTGGAAATAAGCCTCGCTAGACTTTCTGCCTGTGAGACAGCTTGAAGTGCAAAGATGGAAAGCTTTGGAGAGTATTTATTTTAGTTAAAGAAACTGTTCACAAATGTACAAACAAGTTCTGCATACCATTCATCTGGAAAGCATCTATCAGTTGGCAGACATTCCTAGAAAGTGTTCCGTGATTTTGAGGTACAGCTGATCTTTGATGAGCTACGGGGAGTTGAGGGGTGCCAACCCCTCCTGCAACTGAAAGTCGGCAGATAGCTTAAACTTAACTACAATGATCCACTGTTGACGGGAAGCCTTGTCAATAATATAAATGGCTAATGAGCAGGTATTTTGTATGTCACATGTATTATATACTATATTCTTATGATAAAGTAAGCTAGAGAAAAGAAAACATTATTAAGAAAATCATAAGGAAGAGAAAATGTATTTTCTGTTTACTAAATGGAAGTAGATCGCCATAAAGGCCTTCACCCTCATCATCTTCATGTTGAGTAGGCTGAGGAGGAAGAGGAGGGGTTGGTCTTGCTGTTACCGAGGTGGCAGAGGAGGAAGAAAATCTACATACAAGTGGACTTACGTTCTAATACATGTTGTTCAAGGGTCAGCTGCACATAGAAAAGTATATTTTTTAACCCAACACAGACCACTAGCTATTCTTATTGTCTTTAGCCAGTTTTTGTTGAAATAAAGGTAAATATGAAATAATTATACTGTTTTTTTTTTTTCTTTTTGAGACGGAGTCTCGCTCTGTCACCCAGGCTGGAGTGCAGTGGCATGATCTCGGCTCACTGTCACCTCCGCCTTCAAGGTTCAAACGATTCTCCTGCCTCAGCCTCCTGAGTAGCTGGGATTACAGGCACGTGCCACTACGCCCAGCTAATTTTTGTAAATTTAGTAGAGACGGGATTGCACCATGTTGGTCAGGCTGGTCTCGAACTCCTGACCTCAGGCGATCCACCCTCCTCAGCCTCCCAAAGTGCTGGAATTATAGGCGTGAGCCACCGCACCTGACCAATAATTATACTCTTTCAAAATCGTAAGATCCATCTTTTTGAATAATGTGTTAGAAAATCAGTTTTATGGCAAATCGATTGGAGAAACTTCTTTAGCTTTATAAGCTGCAGAGAGCTCAGAACAGTCCTGAAAACAGACTTCTTGTGAAGATTGCATTGTTTCTGTGTGGAGAGCATTGTTTCTGTGCATTTATTTTGGTCGTGCTCTGACCTCTGTCTGGGGCTGTGTGTCTGACATGGCAGCCTTTAGCCACATATGGCTATTTAAAAGTAAATATAATTAAAAAGTCAGTTCCTCAATCACAGTAACCACATTCCAAGCACTCAGTGGCCATACATGGCAAGTGGCTACTGTATTGAACAGTGCAGATATAGCCCATTTTCATCACTGCAGAAAGTTCTACTGGACAGTTCCAGTCTGGAAAAGGACAGGGACGTCTGTCCAAGGAATAACATTTGCAAACTCAGGTTTCCTGTGTTTTCAACACAAGCACTTTGAGCTATTCAGCTGTAGTTGAGGGAAAAAAAGAAAAAAACTTTCCAGAAATAAAGCAATTTCTTGACTACAAAAATATAGAGCAGCATTTTCCAGAGTACGGGTCATGCAATCCAGGTTCCAACAGATGCTGCCAGGAGCAGGGCAGGAGTTGGGGTACAGAGAGGTGGAGCAGAGAGCTGCAATCCAAGAGTTGGAGGCACCAGGTAAGCCAGATTAAACCAATTTCTTTCCTATAGGACTTAAAACTTTCACTATGCAAAGATGTATTGCTTGAACAAGCAGAACAGCACACTCAGCATTTCCTAAACTCTGTAGAGCAAGAACTACCTTTTGTGTGGTACATTTTGTAAGACAGGTGTTTTATGAAGCAACTTGGGATTCAGATGGCTTGCTTTATTTTTTTAATCCGTAGTGCTGAGTTGCATACTGCTAGTCACAATGAGCAAGTGATACCCAAAAATCAGAGCCATTAGGCCCACAATAGTTCATTTCTGTAGAGAACTAATGAAAGTATGACTTTTTAAATTATATGGTTTATTTGCCTCAAATGTATTTTTGAGACTACAATTTATTTTTACAGTAAAATCTTTTTCTTTCTAACACTGCCATTGATATATATTTTTATGGGTTTAAGATCAATTAGAGAAGATGGGATGAAATTTTGTGATCGTGTATGCTTAGTAACTCTTCTTCCAAGGGTTAATTAAATGAATATGAGAGATTTTAAAATTTCATAGAATAACTTATATAATGATAAATAAAATATTTTCATAGGGCGAGTGTCACCATGTGTCAATCTCAAAAACATTAACTGCATGGGGCATTATGATAATAACAACAAAAATGACATGTAGATTGTGTTTTTGTTTTCCATGTCAGAAGAAGTGCTTCTGCAAACAGTGAGAACAATCCTAAGGATGTAGTGCTTGGGTCCAGTCCAGCTGGGGCAGACCTGGCGGCCCCCCACCAGACAGGCAGCTTGCATCTCCCCAACCCCCAGCATTCTGAATGGTGATCTTCCCCTTTCCAGCACTATTTTGTAATAGATAAAAATATGGAAACGATCCACTTTTCCATAGTATTATAGCAGTTAAGTATGTTCTTGACATAATTATACAGTGGAATACAATACTCTGTTATGAAGAGTAAGGTCAATCCGTGTCCTGATACGGAATCACTTTTAATACACAGAATGAAGTAAAGACAGCATGAAAAGGGGATCCATGCACATGAGCATATAAGATATTTTCTGGAAAGAATCAAAGACACCCCGGGAACAGTGGCTGCCTTTGGGTAGAGGAAGTGATGATGTGAGGGAGGAAGCTTTTACTTTTCAGTTTATAACCTTCTAGAATGTTTGAGGTTTCTGAACATGTAGTTGATGGTTACTTAGGGACTGAGTTTATGAATTACTTTTTTTCTTAATTAAACTTAGTAATGTTACATGTTAAAAATAAAAGCAATGTGACCAATAATTATTATTAGGTAGAATTTTACACCTTTTTAGGCAAAGTGTTTCTTTGAGGTTAAACTTAGGGAGAAGGAAATATGCTTTTCACTGGCAGAGACCGAGGGCACAGAAACCAACTCCGTGAAGGCTCGCTGCTGTTCCAGAAAGAGCCAGGCATGCAGGTGGTGGTCCGGCTGGCCACTCTTAAACCTGGAATGCGTCAGGAGCAACTCTCCTGTCATACCCATGTAGCTGAATGTCATTTTTTAATGAGAATGAAGTCCACTGGGAAATTTAATTTACCTTCGCAAAATAGGGTCTCTGAAACATGTCACCAAATGTATTGAGCAGCCAATGCAAATCAGTGATGTTTTAATTAAATTACACAAAATGTTTAAATAGTTTAAATAGTTCTTACGTTATAGGAAAACGTATCCCAATGCAACTTTGCACATATCTGTATTCTAGCAATCAACTTCCTACAGGGGATTTTAGTGTTGTTTTTGTTCAGCTAGTGCCCCTTGGGGGTAAGGGCAGAGATTGTCTAGCACATGCCAAGAACATCGCATGTTAGCCTCATGGCATGATGAAGAAGCAGCACGCCCTCACTCTTCACACGAAACAGGAACACCAAGGTCAGCGCTAAGTACCTGCTGTTATTCCTGTTGTTCATGACATTTAGGCAGAGTTCAAGGGAGCCCACACAGAATGAGCACTCAGGACTAGAGTGACAGGCATTTCTCTCGCTTGTCCAACATTCCACTGGGAAAGGCTAAGTCGATCAGTTATTCAATCAAATCTCTCTACAAGCTCCTGGGAGGTAATAGGGCTTTTCTTGGGTAAAGACCAGCCAGTCCCATGGGCACTGGTCTCCAAGGATCTGCAACAGATGTAGAAATCACATTTCCTGAGATTCCAAGAAATGCAGCCATTTTTCCTCCTTCTCCGCTTGGCATCTCAGTGGGCCCCAGGATTCTACCAGTTGAAGTCCTCAAAGACTCACTTTGGCCTCTTTTTGCACCAAGAAGTGGAAACTTGAAGTGTCCCCTAGGCAAATCTGATCTGTCCTGGCTTGACCTTTAGTCCCACCTCCCCTAAGATTTGGAGGTCCTTAGGAGGTACACCTGGCAGAGCTATCCAAGCCTACCATACAGGCCTTTGTCCCCACTGTCCATTAAGAAGTTGAGGTTGTGGATAGAGACTAAGAAGGAGATTTCTTAAAGTCCAATTTATTTAAGAATTTTTTTCAAGGAGAAGAAAAATATCAAGTAACTACAAGGCCATGGGTAAGGCCCAGGTCAAATGTATAACCCTTGCCTGTCTGTTTGCCCATTCTTGAACCAGGATCAGAAGAAGTGTACAAGTGAGAAGGAACCCAGTCAGAAGCAGATAAGCCTCACTCTTGCACTCTAGGAGGTAATTTGTCAAGCGGGCCTATTGCTGCACTTCCAAAAAGCAATTTTCTTCCTCCTTTCTGTAGAAGAAGGCCAAGAATGCCTGTTTCTTTATCCAATCAAAGTTGCCTGTTACTCTCCTTCAGACAGAAATAATATTGTTCCTGACACACATCACATTTTTCTTCACAAAGCCGTGTTGGTTATTGACCAGAGTTCAGGGACAGTCTGGGAATTTGATGCCAAGCGATTTTTTCCCAATTCCTCTCAAGGTATTAGTGCTAAACTGGCAGGGCTGTAATTTGGAGGAAGTCTGTGTTCACTCTTCCCGTGGCCGCCTCCCCATGTAGACAAACCCAGTCCACTTGCAGAATGTGACATATGCCTAAAGAATTCTTACACACATTATCAAATGCAAGCTTTTGATTGTGTCCTAAGAATTTGAGGCCGGGCGCAGTGGCTCACGCCTGTAATCCCAGCACTTTGGGAGGCTAAGGCGGGCGGATCACGAGGTCAGGAGATCGAGACCATCCAGGCTAACATGGTGAAACCCCGTCTCTACTAAAAACACAAAAAATTAGCCGAGCATGGTGGCGGGTGCCTGTAGTCCCAGCTACTCCGGAGGCTGAGGCAGGAGAATGGTGTGAACCTGGGAGGCAGAGCTTGCAGTGAGCCGAGATCACGCCACTAAACTCCAGCCTGGGCGACAGAGCAAGAATCCATCTCAAAAAAAAAAGAAAAAAGAAAAGAAAAAAAAAAGAACTTGAAGCATTGTTCTTTATTTGTACAAGCCTGCATTTTGACTTGCCCTGATTATCTGAAGGAAATAGAAGAGATAGTCCAGTCAACTTATGTTAGTCATTTGCATCAGAAATAAGATGAAATTTTATTTGCTAGATTTTTAAAGAATGTAGAGCTTGGAATGGATGTGTCCTGAAAGAGAAATTTCCCAGTGATTAATCAACCTTGTTTAGACCATTCATTTAAATGGTTTTACATGTAAATAGGAAGTACGTAGAAAAGCTATGTGTTCAGAAGATAGCTGCTATTTGGAAAGAAAGAAATCTAAATCAAAGTAGGCTTCTCAAAAACTCTTTTATGTGAAGACATGGCTGGGCTTTGTATAAGCAGTATTGTATTGTTGTAAAGTTCAGAAGATGCTTAATCAATAAGAAAAGTTGAAGTAGAAAGATAGGATTAAAGAGATAAGATCTTTGTTAGACTAAATCTATTGACCCAGAACTTCCTGTAATGGGATGGATGGGAACTGCTTCACATTGTTAATGTAACAGAGGTTTTCGATCTCAAAATTGCTGTTTGGAGGCTATGTCACTGTGTCTATTTTTAGTTTCTTGGTCTAAAGAAACCAAAGATTGTTTTTGCAAGACCTCAGAAAAGCACAGAACTTCCCTTGTAAACATGATTTAGATAAAACACTTACTGGGTATGCTTTTAATATTCTGAGCATCACATTAAACGTCACTGATGTATAATCAGAAATCTGCAGGGACACAAACTACCTCAGAATGTGAATAAAATAGCCAGCATGAAACCGACTCTATAGGCTATGCACCTTCCCTGTACAAACAGAACTGCTTGCTGATAGAGCATGACCCCCAGCACCTGGCTGGCAGCTGGCAGGGGTAAGTTTCTATCAGGTCATGGTTAGAATCTCTGTGTGCACAGCAGACAGACTGTACACTAAAATGTCGGTTTCCCTCCTGACGGCCATCTCCCCCTTTCTCTTGCTAACAGAACAGATTTTTTTTTTTTTTCAAGTGTGGACCAGTTTGGGAAATGACCTCATTTTCCGGGTCAGTAGTGAGTTCTGAGTAGTCTAAACCAGTCTTGCTAATCCCTTGACCCTTACTAGTGATCAGGTTTCAGAAGATCCAGGCCCTTCTAGAGTTCATTGCCCTACTGAGTTCATCAGCTCTGAAGCCACTCCATGGTTGGACTGCCTGTCATGGGATATGATACATTTCCTTTCTATTTAAGCCAGTTAAATTGGGGCTTTCTGTTTCTCCAATCAAAATCTCTTAATGGGCACACAGGCATTTATTTCTCTTAATAATGACCAAAGGAATTCATTTACTAAGGACTTTGGGCAGATATTGGGGAAAAAAAAGAAGTATTTGATGAGAGCGTTTTAGTAGCAAACAAAATCACCTCCAGATTATTATATTCCATAATATGGTTGTGTCCACTGTAACTGTAATCAGCAATAAAAAAAAAAAATCTTTTTGTTCCTCTCTGGCTAAATGGATTGTAGTAGGCTCCATTATATTATTCTGACGTTAGTTCCGTGGTGTGTGGCCAGTTCCTAAGACTGCAGTGGCTTAAGGGGATGGGAGTTTATTTCTCTCTCTCATAAAATGTCTGGAGCTGGGATGCTCCACTCCACCAAGCCTTTAGTTGCCCTCATCTACATGGTGCAAGGTGGCTCAGCCCCAGGTCCACTTTTCAACCAGAAACAAAGGGGAAAGAGAAGAGGACATTCCCAGTCTCTTTAAAGGTCAAATCTGGAAGTAGCACACAACATCGTACTCGTATTCCGACAGAGAAAAGTTACTTGTGAGGCTACATGGCCAGCCCCCAAAGCAGTTGGGAAATATCTGTATTCGGGGTGCGATGTGCCCAGCTAGAAACTGTTCCTATGAAGAAAAGGGCAAATGGATGATGAGCGGACAAATGTCAGCCTCTGCCTCATCTGGTGTCTTTTCTGTCTCCTTTTATCATTACTCAAATACCATTCACTTGTGTGCAGTCTCAGAGTTTCATATTTTCATGCAGGAAAAGAAAAAAGTCTTCTGGCATGAAACTACTTCTTTTTTATTTCTAACAGAATTGAGTATTTCCTTGGTTATCTTTTTTTGTAACAATATATATTTTTCACTTTCCGTATTCCCAGGCATGAGAAATTAGACCTCTAACTCTCAATAATACCCGTAAAATTGTATTCGCCCCTTCTATTAAAAGGTGTTGCCACAATAACCTTCTGAAGTTGTGCAGATAAATAGAGTTTGCATTCAGTAGTGCCATAAACTGAAAGCAGAGGTACAATTCTAGAAAATTCTCTAGTTCGATTGACATTTACACCTGCTGATTATTTTGTTCTCATGTCACATACAAAGGCACTACTAAACCATGTAGAACCACATGTACCACAGACTAAAGCTTTTGGAGTTACAAATTGAATGTGGTATTTCACGTAGCACTTGAAGTAATATCAGCTTCTGATTTACATTTCTAACAGAAGTCCTAGGAGTTTTAGCTTTTATTCTTCTACCGCAATCACTAGAAATCACGCTGTTTTTAGCAACTAAGCTGTACTCATAAGAAACATGCACCAAGGGGGAAAATTCAGTATATTCTTTCTTATATTTAAAATAAATCAGTAATACTTGTAGGGGAAAATTGTTTATTCTACATGCATGAATTGGTTATCCAGCATGTATGTGGCTCTCTGCTAGATGCTACAGGCACACAGAGGTGATGTCACAGCCACTGTGCTGAAGAAACACGTCATCTAATGGGAAGACAAGACATGTCTATGCGAAACAGCATAGCCGCATGGCAACACGTAACTGTGCAGGGGAATGTCCCACAGAAATCCAGGATACTTAAGGGCCTTCGTACCCAGTTTCCGCATCACCTTGAACACATCTCATAGTCACGTGTATCACATTGCTCGTGTGCATACCACTTGCCCACACGTGGAGCTGCTGTGGGGCCGCTGGTGGGGTGAGCAGGAGCTGCCTTCTATTCATTTTTGTATCCTCAGCAACGATGCCTGCATTCAGCACACTCATCGTTGTATCAATCATGAATGATGCAGTGAGAAAGGAAAAGGTTTGGAATCAAGAATGGGGAGCTTCATTAAGCGCACTGAGGGATGGAGAAATTTGACCTGGAAGTGGTGACTGAAATATTTCAGGCAGAAGATTCTGGAACAGAGTGAAGGGACAGAAAGCTAGGCAGCTGCAGAGAACACGGCCAGGGAGGAATGATTAGCCGACGGAGAGGAGTCGTGGGCTCATGGTGCCTGATCAAGAGCAGGACAGGGAAAGGGAGTCTGGCCCTGTGGGTTAAGGATTCAGTACTTCATCCTGCAGACAATGGAGGCCAGGCAAGGGCTTCCAGGGGAAGTGACATGATCAGATCTTTTGGAAAAAGTAATCTAGTGTGAGGGCGAGGAGGACAGGTGGAAAGGGGGTTCACTGAAGTCACAGAGACCACTGTGACGGCGAGTGTCGTGTGAATATACAGCCTTCCTACCTTATAAAACAGGAATCGCTGTTTATCTTTTCTCTTCCTACTAGTGAAGCAGCATCGTAGTCTAGGGTAAATCCCCAGGGTTCCTTATCTCACGCCAAGAAAATTAAGTACACAGACACGTGGGTGGGTTAAGGAGTGGAAAGTTTAACAGGCGGAAGAAAGGAGAGAGGAGGGCAGCTCCTTGCAAGAGAGAGAGATGTCTGAAAAAAAGGGTTAAGGTGGCAGATCCCAGCAGATTTTATAGGCAGGCTTGAGGAGGCAGTGTCTGATTTACGTAGGGCTCACAGATTGGTTTGACCAGGTGTGACGTTTACTTAGCACGCGAAGAAGGCTGGTCGCCCCACCCTAATCTTATTATGCAAATGGGCTTTCCACTTGGTGGGGCTATCTTGTCTGCTCCTTACTGGACACGTGGCTGGCAAAAAGAGAAGATGGAGCCGCCATTTTGAACATGGCTAGTCCCAGGTAGTATATTCCTACGGGCACAACTGCCAGCATGTACCTGTGCAAGCTTCCAGCATGCTTGTTTGTGTCTGCAGGTCGATTTTACAGGCTGCTCTTTGTTGGAAAAGAAAATGATTTGGGGGCTGCTTTTCATTAAGAAGAAAACCTTACTGAGGACTTCCATACCCTCACTGCCCAAGTAATTTCTTTACAACTCCTGTATCACTAGTTTTTCAGAAATTATTTTAAGAATTTTAGTTTTGTAATATCATATGCATTTAAGACTAATACCTCAGGGATGTGGAAGATTTAGATCATTCTTTTATTTTAGAGATTATTTAGAAATTGAATTCATAACCACTCTCTGTATAATGTTTAATAGCTAATATGGTACACTATAGAATATTTATACTCACCCATCTTTATTATGCTGCATAATTTGCTGCCTTTTTTAAATCTAAAAATATGAGTTTAATATTTACAAGTCTGAAATAGCAAATTTTCCTTACTGTTTCCTCAGCATCCACCATGGTATCCAACATACATATAATTGTATAAGAGGGTTTCATATTGAAAAGTCCCGCAAGTGACAAGATTTGTAGATTTATAAGAGGCTTTCTACCAGTATTTGAGAAGTGGTGGCAGGTATAAAGGGTGGACAGTGACAGCCACCCTTCTTGACTCAGATATCCCAGCATCCACGTGCATGCACCAGTGAACATGAAAAAGTGAAAGACAGGAAAGACCTTCTGACCATGACATTCCAGCCATATTACCACGTGGGCGTCTCTCCCGTCTCGTAACCCATGATTTCTATTTAGCAAGGATGTTTTTTCCTCAACTCATTTATTCAAAAATACAAACAAAAGCAAGTAAAAAAACCCCACAAAGCTAATTTATAACAACCCTAGATATTTTCAATGTCTCTGGAACATTTAACATTAGTACACTGGGAATCACAGCCTACTCTGGAAGAGATAGAGTATGGAGTAAACTCCTGAGTAGGGAGCTGGGTCCAGACTCAGACACACACACTCACACACACACACTACATACATACACCCACACTCATACACACACAGCCATATACACACTCCTGCTTCACAAACTAGATCCAGAAATAAATTTACCATTTTACCAATGAAAAAGTTATTTTTTTGCTTAAGTGAACCCTAAAACTTGCGAATTTTAATTTTAATCCAGTTAGTTTTACACAAATCACAGTCTCTAGGCAAATTTTTCTGCAAGAAGCATCTTGTACTTATAGACACATAGATAGATTATATATATATATATATATATATATAGAGAGAGAGAGAGAGAGAGAGAGAGTGCAAGACAGAGATAGGATGGATAGATTGATTGATTTTTAATAGAACTAATCATAGTGAAAATTTTAAATTGAAATTAGTTTTTTGTTTCAGGGAAGAGTAGGATGGTGAAGATTTGCAAATTTTTACCCCAAACTCCTTCTTTATTAAATGCTTTTGGCATCTATCTAATTTCCTTGTAGTGCCTGTATCTCTGGTATTTGCAAAGACTTTTTCTATGTATCCCTAAAAGTGGGATCCATTGTAACAGTTCCAAAACATTCCTCAAAGCTGTTCTTTTATAATCTAATCCTTCTCATCCCTGAGCACCTCCATTTCCCAAGCCTGGATAATAGACGCAGGTAATCCACCCGCATGTCTGATATTCAGGTTTACAATTCCCTTGCTGGTAAGACTGACATGATTTTTTTCAGAGCACCCTGACTCTTTCCAAGGAATAGGTGCCCTAGAGCAGCAGGGACAGTGCTCCTAAATATCCCCTACACGTTTGCAGCGTATATATCTATGTCCACTCACACGTACAAGCCCCCTAAAGAGAAAATCTTCTCCTTTGAGCCTATTTTGGATTCTGCCCAGGTTCCTTTCTTTGGGATGGTCTTACTGGGCCACCTACCTTGGGACACTTTTAACTCATTTAGTTGACTTCTTCCAACACTGGGTCATTAAAATGTGGGAGTGCATCAGTTTCCTCAGCAATGTTGCTGTGTTGCTGGGCGAGGGTAGGGGGTGGCGTTCGCACAATTAATTTTTTTTTTTTTTTTTGAGACGGAGTCTCGCTCTGTCATCCAGGCTGGAGTGCAGTGGCATGATCTCGGCTCACTGCAAGCTCTGCCTCCCGGGTTCACGCCATTCTCCTCCCTCAGCCTCCCGAGTAGCTGGGACTACAGGCGCCCGCCACCATACCCGGCTAATTTTTTGTATTTTTAGTAGAGACGGGGTTTCACCATGTTAGCCAGGATGGTCTCGATCTCCTGACCTCGTGATCTGCCCGCCTCAGCCTCCCAAAATGCTGGGATTACAGGCGTGAGCCACCGCGCCCGGCCTTGCACAATTATTATTAAGGCTGGGCAAATGATGGAACTTACGGAACTTGCATTCAGGTAAAATAAACATTATTATCAGATGGTGGAGTGCTATGTTCTGTTTGAAGCAATAAAATATCCCGTAGGTAGTTGAAAATATGAAACTGAAATTTGATGTGTTAGGATTTTGGTAAAGATTTGAATTATCATTAGAAAGAAATTGTTGAAGCTCTCTAAAAATTGGTCTGTTCTCTGAAGTAGAGCAGCATGACAGCCTTTTTCTCTTAAAAGAAGCAAGCCTTGGGCCAGGTGTGGTGGCTCACGCCTGTAATCCCAGCACTTTGGGAGGCCAATACGGGCGGATCACCTGAGGTCAGGAGTTCGAGACTGGCCTGACCAACATAGAGAAACCCCGTCTCCACTAAAAATAGAAAAAAATTAGCCAGGCGTGGTGGTAAATGCCTGTAATCCCAGCTACTTGGGAGGCTAGGCAGGAGAAGCGCTTGAACCTGGGAGGTGGAGGTTGCGGTGAGCCGAGATCATGCCATTGCACTCCAGCCTGGGCAACAAGAGTGAAACTCCATCTCAAAAAAAAAAAAGAAAAAAAGAAAAAAAGAAGCAAGCCGTATAGGTCTTCTTCGACACGGAATGAGGCTGCTCCAATTCCTGCTGGTCTCCAGAGCAGTTAAGAAAATGGAAAGGGCAATTTCTTCTAAAAGTATGATTTTTCAAACCAGGGTACCTGATATGGAAGATGATATGCAATGTCACAGGAGAAGGTGCATTTCCCTAGACACTGGGACAGGTCTGGGTGGGGAATGATACTTTTATATTGAACCAAACACGTGAATCTTCAAAAAATGTCTAAATTTACAACCCTTCCTTTGGACTATGACCTCCAGACAATCCAAGTAGTTTTTGTTCTCTTTGTTCTCTTTCCTGTGCTGTCCAGGAACACCTGTGAGGGAGAGTTTGAGAAGTGTCCATTTAAGTGATGGCAAGAAGCCCGTGTGCACAGCCACGGCCCAGTGAAAAAACTGTTGGCTAAAACATCAGAGTGGTGTGAAATGAATGAGGGTTTTTTTTTTAAATGCTTCTTAAGTAAAATGCTTTTGCTGCTCTGTTGTTTTTATAACATGCTCAATAAGTTTCACTACTCTACAAAGTAGATTAATGTTCCTGTGTTATTTTATTATATATGCCGTGGAAAAGGAACTGGTCCCTCAAGGATTGACATTAATTTGTGTCAAGTGGTATTTTTCTTCATCATCAAAATGTAAGCAATTAAATCTCCACTTCTCAAATGTGAGAAATATATGAAAGAATGTGTAACCCATGAAAAATTTTCCAGCCAGAGACAAAAATCAGTTGTACCAATAATGTTTATAAATCTTTTTTGATTTCAAAACTATTTTTGTGTCTTATTTTGCAGAAGACAACTTATATGTAGGACAGCTTCTTCCAAAACAGCCTCACTTAAACTGAGTTGCCGTAATCCTATGAGTAGACTATACTTCGTCCAAATATGGAGGTTTAGATGTTTTATTACTGGAACTGAAACTGTGTGAGTTTGAAGAGAAACCAGCCATTTCTCTGTCCCATTGCTGTGAGATCATAAGTAAGCCATTTCACCTTTCCTGTGCCACTGTTTCCCGTTCCTCTACAAAAGGAGGCCTCTTCCATCTCTAAGACTCGGAGCTTTCTTGCATGCTGGTATTGACATTACCAGAGCAGATGGGCTAATGTGTGACTCGCCTCACTAAGCCTGTGAACTTGGTGCTTACTGCGGCCCCAGGTGAGGCAGCTGGAGGGACACAGCCGTCAGCCACAACCAGGTGTCAACATCATCCCCATCATTGTCTTCTCACCTTCCCTAAGGCATCCACTTCCAGCAATCACTCATCAAATCAGATATTCGAAGATGAGACTCTTGCCTTTCAATACCCTAAATTTCACTGGAACAGGAAGGCATGCGGTGACTAGGGAGAGGAACGCAGCGTAGAGTCTGTGGTTGTGGCTCGTATATCTCATAGACATAAGACAGCTGTTTTAAGTAGCAGACTCCTAAATTAAGATATTCAAACAAGACTGTTGTTGTGAATATCAATGCAATAATTCAAATAAAACAAAGCAGGATTCCTGCCTTCTAAGCTAGAATCATGAGTCAGGCAAACTTTACTTCTTCGACCCTTGGTACACGGTATGAGGCCCCAGAGAAGGCCTTATTTATTTGGCTCCTTTTTTCAGTTGTGGCTTAATTTCCAAGAATTTTCATCCAGCCTCTTAGATTCTCATTGGACTTCACCTAATCATTCAAGACAAAAAGTCACCTCCCCAGGAGATAATTATACCATCTCCTGAGGCAGTGTTTAATTCCTTTTACTGACAAGAAGTTACTCAGTGTCTAACCTCAACCCTTTACTGCAGAAGTCTCAATCCCATGTATCTCGCAACAACTTTTCACAGCATTCTTGAAAGCAATCAGACGTTAAAAGTATGGGTGTGCCCTGGAGTCAGTTGCGTGTTATATGAGGGGGCCCTATTTGTACACAACCCCATTTCCACTTGGACACAGTTGAGAAAGACCCTGCCACTCTGCTGTGATTTCTAGGATCTTTTCTCAATGGGAGTTCTCCAAGTTCCTGTCTTATTTCCCATTTTCACTGGGGTGCTGGTGGATATTATTGAGGGCTTCAAGACTGCTCACCTCTCCAAAAGGGTTAAGGCATCACCTTTCCTTCATGGAAGGGGTGGAGGAACAGCTCCTGGAGTGTATGAGAGGCCACATTGCGTTCCCACAGCTGTGCACCCACTACAGCTATGGAAGACTCTGTTTCTTTAACATATCAGGAGATATTTGTAGCTGGGAGGTTTACCAGTATTCATTACTAAACAGAAAGAGAAAACCAAAAACTACCAATCAGAATAAAATCCTGTCTCAATATGACATGGCTAAGTAAAGTCACAAATGAAAAATCTTTCCCCTGAGGATTACTTTAACAGTGACATTTTATGCATATATTATATCTATGGAAATTCTTCTGTCCCACAAATATATGTTAAGTATTTTGAAGGAAGAAAAGATTTCTATCTTTTCTGTCTTTTCAATCTCAGATTAGGGGAATTTATTCAAGTTAACTCTAAGTCTCTGGGGACTAAGTGGGGGGAAAGAAATGTTTAAAAGCAGTGCTGTGTTAAAGGAGGCAGTAATGCCTGTGGCCTTGGGGTAAACTGAGCTGACCTAGAGAAACGGTGTCTGTGAAGGTCCATCAGTCTCCCGCAAGGGTTCTTCAGACAGCTGATTCAGTGGCACTGTCAGAAAAGAGACTCCAGCCCTGTAGAGGCCAGTCTAATAAAGAAGACTGGAGAGCCGGAGAATGTTCTGATTAGCAATAGCTTGGCCTGACTAGGAATATTAGAGCATCACGGAAAGAGGAAACTCTCATTCTAGTAGTAAAAGGAAGTGCAAGGGAAGAAGATGCAGTGCGTGTCCTCTTTGCCTCCCCACCTTTTAGATTTTACAAGGTGCTACTACCCATGGGCAGATGTTCCTCACTCCACCCCTCAGGCAGAGAGAGGCCACAGCACTTGGTAGCAGAAGGCATCTTGCTGTGAATTAGAAGGCACCCCTCCCTCATGTGGGCATAGCATCCAGCAGGTTGTAAGGTTCAGGGAGGGAAATGCCCTGTTTCCCAGCCCTTCTGGCCTTATAGGTGGAATTGTTTGTGTGAAGCACAAATTACAGAAATGTACACCAAAGCCCTGGCTCCAAGTTCATACTTGATGCCGTTGGGGCTCAAGACACTTCACCCCAAAATATGATGGTAGGAGACCAGAACATGCCACCCCAGAATGTACTTCTTTGGCATATTTTGAGCTGGTTATTCTGAGAAGTTGCAGACACAGAAGTGCCTCTGAATAGCTGTTCTTTTGTAAAAGAAATCTATATCTATAAAGGAAAATAATTGTCATAGGAATCTCATGAAACAGAGAAGATCTTATCACAGGAGGTAAGATTGGAGGTGATACCTTACCCAGACAGACTCTGTCACAGGTGATCACAGATTCTTCTGAGAGATGCACTGAAACAACTTTTACTACTCCTGAGGCTTTCTATCGGTATAACAAGATAGCCTTTGTTCATCATACATTTCCTCCCCTCACCTTTCCATAACCTGTCACCACCTCCCAGCCAGAGACCCCAAACCTCTATTCCTTTCTGTAGCCCAGGGATTCTATATAAACTCCAATTACCTACCCCTTCTTTGAGCCTTATATTTTGAGGGACTCTCATGCATATGTATGTAATAAATTTGTATGTATTTTATCGTGTTGATCTGTCTACTGTCAGTTTATTTCATAGACTACATTATCGAACCTTCAGAGGATAAAGAAAGTCTTTTCTGTCCCCTACAGTGCTTAGCAAACATTTGCAAATGAATGGATGAGTAAATGTAAAATTATATCAGAGGGTTTGCTCCTCATGTAGCAATTACTGATGCTTTGAGATTTTATTTCATTATATTTATTTATATTACTTATATTTATATATATATTTTAATATTTCTATTTTATTTAAGATGTTAGCAGAGCTTCTAATGGTTATAGCATGTAAACAAGAAAGAATTAGCAAGACAGGACAACAAAAAAGAAGACAATAGGAAAATATCACTTAATATTTTAGTTTGTGTGCATTCGAGAAACTTTTTGCCCATTGTTGTAGCTTAGGTACTTTTCAAAGTAAGCAAGAAGCAATTATTCAATACTCAAGTACAATACAATAAGCAACTGTAATCTGTTGAACAGGTGTGTTTGTGTGCACGCACATGCATGTGTCTGAACACATGAGTGTCTACTGGAGGCTGGAGCCAGCTGTACCAGGTTCACAGGAGCCAGTTATGCACATCTTTTTCCAGCTCCATGTTCAGCAACTTCATGTTGGCAGCTTGAAACTGACTGTGATGAGAGTATTTATGGGACTGACCTTTTTTTTTAGGAAGGTTGGAAAAGAGCTGGTTTATCAGCCCACTATTATATGTGAGTGATCATTTAATTGTATTCAAGCAGTGGTCTTTAGAAGATACACAATACTAAATTGCTTATATACACAGATTTGGGTTACAGGCAACTTAAACCTATCTTTCAGTTAATCTTTTCTGTTATATTTGTTATATATTTGAGACATTGGTATAATTAGATTTAAAATATTTGATACCCATATTAATAACATTATCTAAGTTATTGGGTTGTTTTCCAAAAATTACTTTAAATAATTATTTTTTATTATATCTGTAGGCTATTCTATAGCCAAGTAGTATACAGAACATTTTTAGCATCTATAATTAGAACACCTATTTCCAGATTAACATAGAAGCATTTCTGATGCAATGCGCTGAATAGAATAATTTTTTAAAATAGTATAGCCTTCAAAGATCCCAAGTACAGGGATACTAAGTGCAGGTAGGTTCTCTTGTCTCTGTTCATATTTTAATACTTAGGCTCCGGGAACTGCCTCCTACAGCCTTCTCATAAACTAAACTTTTCCTCTCTTTGCTTTCTGATCATTTTTCCTTCTCTGATCTTATAATAAAAACATCCCTTAAATTCATGCAGCACCACAGTTCTCCTGCTCCCAATATCCCTGACCTGTTGGCCCTTTTATTCCAGTATTTAGAGGGCAAAGCTGAAAGCAAGATGTTGGAGTGCAGGGAGAAGAGATCAGAGCAGCCTACTCACTGGCAGGCTAGGCTCCAGGAGGAAAGTCCTCAGGACCTGGGAGAGGTGGACCCTCATCTCCAGGCCCAGGAACAGGACAGGTGACACTCCTAAACTTTCTGAGGCTTGCAACTCTACAGAGCAAATTTTTAGTGTAAGATTTGTTGTCCTGTTTTATAAAGGATGGCTTTATACTATATATCCTTATGGCTTCACCCGTCCATCTCACACAGAACCCTACTCACACACACATACACACACACACACACACACACCTTTTAGAAAATGAATGAATGTGTCAACTCAAAAATCTTATTTTCACATTAAGAGATGAAATATCATTTGCTTAGGCAGAATAGAGGTAAGAACAAGCTACAACAAACATATTTGATGTTTTGAAATGTGTAAAAGATGTAAGAAATTTTAAAACCAGGCTGCAGAATTTCACATTGTTTCCTGTGATCTCCTACATCAAACGGATGCAAGGACAGCAGCCAGCCCTGCTCTTCTGACAGGCTCCGTCCTGCGTACACCTACTCATTGGGAAGGAAAGCAGATGAGTGTCTCCCTCCAAACTCTTACGATGTTGTGCACTGATAAGAGGTGAAGGTATAATTTTGAAAACTTTTAATCATCAAGACTCCTTTGCAGAAATATCTCTTCACCTCCAGATTCACCATTTTTTGTTTAGTATTTGATAAATATTATATGCTATGCAAGCAGATGAGGTTACGGTTGTTTGAGGAAATTCAGCTCCGAAAAGCATAATCCCTCTGGAATTCAAAACCTTCAATTTAAACTATTTTTGGTTTTAACTATTGTTGAGTCTAAAGATAGTTTTGAGCCTGGGCAGCATAGTGAGGCCCCGTTTCTACCAAATATACTAAAAAAAATTAGCTGAGCACAGGGGCATGCAGCCGTAGTTCTAGCTACTTGGGAGACTGAGGCAAGAGGATCACTTGAGCCCAGGAGTTCGAGACTACAGTGAGCTATGTTCATGCCATTGCACTCCAGCCTGGGCAACAGAGTGAGACCCTGTCTCTGGAAAAATAAAAAAATAAAATATAATTCTGAAATATCTTCCTATAGATACACAAAACAATTTTTTTCTATTTGGGAGCATTTCATTCAGAGCACTTCTGCCCAATATTATATGGAGTCATTTTTCATGGGTGCTGGAAATACAAGACTGGACCACCCTTGCTGCTCAGGGAGTCCACGATCTAAAATAATTCCAACATCCTTTTGGAAGTGCTGTGATAGATCTATGCACAGAAAGCTGGTATTATTTTCTTGCCTTTTCACAAATAGAAAATAGTGGAAACAAGGGATTTTTATGTTAAAAAATATTTAATGAAAAAATAATGAGAACTATCTGGATAGGAAAAAAAATTTTTTTAATTCATGGATTGAATTGTGTTCATTTTTTTCCTCTTACTTCCCAAGTGATACGGGAAATGTTATTCCCAGTCTCTCTCTTGCTGAGAGGCTCTCCTCTGGTCACAGGTGCTATCCATGCTTGATGGGTTTCTCAGATGGTATTTTGAAAAATGGTTTGCTTCTGTGTTCAAATGTTTTGCAAAAGAAGAAGAAAAACAGTAACAGGAGGGAGAAGAGGAGGAACAGAGAAAGATAAAAGGATACCATTTTAAGATAAATACTTACTTTCCATGAAATTGATTTATAAAACAATGTCACCTCATCAAACACACATGAGATAGGGGAAAGACCTTTTTCATCATACAGTAAATGTTAGCAATAGGGACTTTTGACAACATAATAATGATAGCCTTATGAGCTGTCACATAGCTAGTTCCATGGTGAAGTGTTCATGGTAATGACCAATTGAGTTATTTTGCGATTTTGTGTCTAATGCAAAATGACACCATGAAAAGCATTGCAATTGATATGAATCGCCATTGTCTGTGAGCAAACTCAAGTGTGAATCTACTGTGTCACTTTTTCTGTCTCTATCTAGAGAGACTCTAACAGGAGATACATTTGTATTTTTGTTACATGTGAACATATTTTATTCTCAATTTATGTATGAATCCCTGGCAATATGATTGATAAGAAACCACACTGACTTAAAATAAACTGATGTATCAGTAGATATTGCCAAAACGTTTTATAAAAATTTAGTTATCTCCCAATTTTGTAATTGGTACATGAAGCTGATTTGTTATGAGAATTCCTATCAAAAATATTATCCTAGCATAAATTATCTTAGCATAATAGATACACTGGATTCAACCATGTCTTTATTATGGAAAAATAAAATAGAAACTAATATTAAAGTATGTACCAAAACATAATGCATTTAGAGTTTTTTTTTAAAAAGCAAGAATATATTTTTCTTGCATACAGGCTAGTGTTAGGAGGTGGAAATTTAAAGGGCTTCCATTTATTTTGTCTTGCATAGCATCAAAGATAGATAAGTAAGTTTGAACATGCAAACGTGAAGTTACCTCTTACTTTGACCTTCCTCAAACATAGGTATACAACATCTGTCATCTAATGTTACCTATTTCTTTATTGATACGATGTCACTGGGCTTTTTGTTTGTGTCTTTGTGATGGGATTGAGATAGAAGGGAAGTACCCTACACAGGACCTCCGTTCACTACGGAAGGGAAAGACACATGAATTGAAACTGATGTTCACAGATAGGACAATGCTGCTGTCATCTTTGCATTACATTTTCTATTATCCTTGGTCTGACTGTTTACTAGAAACACCAGCTTTCTCTAGCCTCAAGACAGTGAGAATGTCTTCTGTCATGTACTTCTCGAAGCTGTTGCAGTGCCCTGTAGGGCATTCTAGCTGTTGTCCTAAATTGAGATGACAGTGTTGCTCATATTAAATTGCCTTCTTGCTTGGCTTGGCATGCTGGGATCCATATCTATTAATGCAGGAGTGTCCAAATGTCCCGCCAGGAAAGCAATTTGTTCCTCAGTAGGGAGTCAGAGAAGCAGCTGGTCTAAGAAACCATCAGAGGTGATGTTGGGGGGCAAGTTGTGTTTTTCTTGATTTAATGGAAAATTCTACTGATCCATCGCCTCGCTTGTCCTCACCACTTGTCAGCAAGGCAGCACATATCCATCTTCAGCCCTCTCCTCTACCTCCCTCGCCTGTCATCGGTCTCTTGTGGGGAGTCAGCCCTTCACACAGCCCAAGCTTTGGAATAGGCATTCTGACAACAACAAACACTTTATTAATGGATTTTTTTAACGTGCTGGGGAGGTAGCACAATTTGGCAGCATTCGGTTAAATATCACGTTGAAAACCAACTCGGCTTTTTAAGAAACACCTCTCCCAGGAGAACATTATATACACACACACCGCATCAATATTCGCCGTCCACATCCGTTCTGCCACCCCTCCCAGCCCCAACAGAGCTTTCTCTGGAATGAAACTAACAAAATTCAAGATCCTCAGTTTGCATCTCTGTTCTGATGGATTACATGTCTGATAATCAACCAGAATGTCAAGTCAAGAACAATGATTGAGTATCAAGTGCATGTTCACTGGGCATCAAGTGCATATTCATTGCATGCAAGGGAGGCTTGTCTGGAAGAGGCCTAATGAGCAAGAAATGTTCACCTCAGCTCTCACGGGAAAGCTGTTTATGGCCCCAGTAATCAAACTGAGAGGCCAGATAATCCAAAGATGAAAATGGACCTCCCAAATGGGTCAAGCTGAAGACCAGCCAGCCACTCCCTGACCTTCAGAGCTTGCCACGTTAGTAATGTGTATAATAAAGTGTTGCTATCTTAACATCATGGGACTATTCAGGATACTTTAAAATGTAGCAGTGAAGCTTATATGAAGTGCACAGTCAGTGGTTATCTTTCATTTCTTTGAGGGCAGAGTTTATTCAGGTTTTTGCTCAAATATGAAAATGACATGTTTAATACTTAAGAAGAAAGCAAGCTTCCCCAGGGCAACCACTGTATCTTTAATGCACTCTTCTGTGCAGTTGAGTTTCTGCATAATTTCCATGGAACTTTAACACAATGGGATTTCTATCCTAATTTTATGCTTTGCTTTCGGTAATTTGTCAGACCTGCAACAATGGATGAGCAACAAATTCTTGGAAATGAAAAATATGTAATTCCATATAGTGCAAAATGAATATATGTAGGCAAATGGGTAATACGTTGCTCATATATGGTCACTGTTTGTCACTCTCTTATTCTTCATTTTCTTGAGAACTAGAAGTCTCCTGCTTCATCAACCCAACCTAAGACTCACCTCCAACTCTGACACTGTCTAATAATTGTCAATCTTTGTAGCTCTCTTATGACTTTGAGATCCTGCTGAGGACAAACTCATTTAAGACCCGGGATTAATAAGAAATCCCTCTTCACATACGGGAGAAGAGGCCAGTAAACATGAGTTTATTCGTAATAATGACCAATGATCTTGTTATATGTTTAATTAAGCTCTGTAGCTTTGTGTCTAACTGAACCCTGATTTCAAGAAGCATTTATGGGTATTGACCCTATGTCAGATACTAGGTAAGCATCTGTGATACAAAGATGACTATGCGGAGTTTCTTGTGTCTTTATGTAAAATGTCTTCACTACATTTTGATTTGGAAGAACAGCTTTCTCATCATAAGTCAAGCCTACTCATCAGCATTGGATTTCTCTTTTATCATAATAAAGGTATTTTGAAGATTCATCTGTAGATTCATGAGCCTACTTTCAAATATGTTATTCAAGTCACCAATTAAATAAGACCCAGGACTCAAACTTTAGGGAATCTTTAGCTGTATCCTCTTTGTTGATATTTAGCTATTAACTACTAACCTTTGGATATGGTCAGATTTTTTTTTCCTCCTCCTAGAATATTTCAAAATAAAGAATTAACTATTGGCTGAGCACAGGGGTTCACTCCTGTAATCCCAGCACTTTGAAAGGCCGAGGTGGGTGGATCACCTGAGGTCAAGAGTTTGAGATGAGCCTGGCCAACATGGTGAAACCCCATCTCTACTAAAAATACAAAAAAAATTAGCCGGGCCTGGTGATGGCCACCTGTAATCCCAGCTACTTAGGAGACTGAGGCAGGAGAATTACTTGAACTCAGGAGGCAGAGGTTGCAGTGAGCTGAGATCACGCCATTGTACTCCAGCCTGGACGACAGAGCAAGACTCTTTCTCAAAAAAAAAAAAAAAATGCATAGAGAGATTTGAGCATAGAGAGAAGCCAAGAAAGTGAAGAAAGCTCAGGAGAGTTTCAACCCATCATGTACCCATCATTTGTCATCGAAGACTCATAAGCATGGCCTTCCATCAACTGTGCACCTGCCTACAGCAAGAACAGGCAAACCACAGACAATCTCTACTGGTGAGGCTGTTTCTTGGAAACACAAGTTTCCTCAAGCTATTCCTCCTCCCCACCCTCAATTAATACACTTCCTCCCTTTAGAAAGAAATTAGATCAGCTTAGGTGATTTTTCTCTTTCACCTTCTAATTGTTACCAAACCCTGCTTCTTTGAGGTGGTTTCAGACTGAATGACAATGTGTTCTTCTTCTGGTCCTGGGTGTGGGCAGGAGAATAAGATGGAGGAATGCGCTGAAGGCCACCACTCTATTTCCTCTAGATTCTCTAAGGTACTCTAAGAATTGCATCGTCAATGAAGATGATGGCTAAATGTAAAAATGATCTTACCTTGCACATAAATGGAAATTATTCTAGTACACCATAAGGACTAACCTTATGTAAAATTGTAAAGAAATACGTAACAGATAAGCTCATATCTTTTTGCTTGTTTATATCTCTTCCCTTTCATGGTACCCTTGTAAGTTCTCCATCACACCTGCCTATTCCTGATCTCCAGCCCACATTCTCCTTGGGCTCAGCCCATCCAGATCTGATCATGCTGAATCCACCTGTCTTTCACTATATCCCTCCCCTCTGAGCTCTCCACGCTTTGGAGGGAGATATGTTACTACCCTGATACTAATCAAATTGCTAGACCAGTAAAAGTCTGGAGGATAAGCTTAGTGCCCATCCTGCAGAGTAATTGGCGTCTGCATTTTAATGGAGGCTCCTGTCTCCTCATTCAGAGCAATCCTGCTGGTATTTTCGACTAGATGAGGAAGGGAAATGGGCCCTTTATGCAGGCCTGCCAGAGGTATTTAAAGGTGAGCAGGATTCAGAGGGGAACCTTGAACAGCACCATCCACACAAACCTCCTCTCTCCTCCCTACTTCCCCAGCTTGGAAAGGCAGACCCCCTCCC
Organism: Homo sapiens; assembly: GCF_000001405.40. Classification (NCBI taxonomy): domain Eukaryota; kingdom Metazoa; phylum Chordata; class Mammalia; order Primates; family Hominidae; genus Homo; species Homo sapiens. Next base: position 161,519,157 of record NC_000006.12, on the reverse strand, counting down.
TACTTGGTATTAAACATTCCACTTTTTTCACTAACAGTGCAATCTCCCTCAATTAGCCTATACTCCCAAAGCAAAGACTTGGCAAGAGGGCTTATTGTCTCTGGGTGTTACAAGTACATTGCGCTATAAATGTCTATGCTCTCTGTCTGAAGTCTCGAGGAGTTTATCATTTACTTGCATCTGGACACGAGTGCAGTTTTCCCAGAGTTCCATGCTCAGGCATTTCTGTGGACAGAGGGAGATTCTCTTGTGCTCAGCCTTCCTCTCCCTGACATTGGTGTGGAGGGCTGCTCTCTGAGTGAGAGCTGCTTTCTATTTGACTCAATTCAGTCAGTGTTCACCAGGTGACTCTTCTGTGCAAGGCAGCTGCCAGGGGCTGCTAGAGGTGGATGGGATGCATAGCCAAGTATCAAGGCACACCGCCGGCCCTCTGCAGCAGGCAGGAGGATGTGTGGAAACTTGCAATGGGCCCCTGGACAGGAGCCGTGGTTCACCTCACTAGGGGGCTGGGTGAGCGGAGGCTGGGCTTGTGCTGCTAGGGGGAGGCCGTGGCATTAACATTGAACCAATAATGCTCTTTGCCAGAAGGTGGTGGAACCCAGCAAGGGCAGATGTGAGCCTCGGTTCAGCTCTCACCCAGAGCCCTGGGATTGCACAGCCAGGGGCAGCGCCCAGTGCCACAGCAGCCTGCACTTGACCTTGCTGCCCAGGCTGCTGCCCAGCCTCCCAAGTAGCTGGGACTACAGGCGCCCACCACCACGCCTGGCTACTGGCTGTTTCTGGGCCCTTCTGCTGCTTTCCCTGCACAGGACATTCTGTTTGCTCAGTGGCAGTGGGCAGCTTTGTGAAGTCCTCTCATCTTCTGGAAAGCAGGGCTGAGCTGTCCTGAGAGAATTTCAGCGCCAGCAGATATGCAGGGTGGGGGCAGTCCCCCTCTCATGCACCTATGTTGCCACCTCCCCGGCCCCATGGTGTGGAGTCACTGTCCAGCTGCCAGTGAGGGAGGCAGTGAGTGCCCCCGGCCCCATCCCCAGGCCAGTGGCCTTCATCTAAGGTATCTGGAGAGCTAGACTCGCACATGCCCTCATAGAAGCCAAATCTCCCTCCAGCTTGAAGCCACTGTGCAGCCAACTTCTGCCAGTCTCCCCGAGGAAATAATAGTCCTCTTGATTTCATGTGTGCTTTACTTTTTATTTTGAAATAGTTATGGATACACAGGAAGTTGTAAACATAGCACAGAAAGGTCCCAGGTACCCTTCACCAGCTTTTTCCAAATGGCTACCTCTTGCATAGCTAGAGTACAGTACCAAAACCAGGAAATTGACTTTGCTACAGTGTATGCGTATAGCTCTACTTATCACAGGTAGGTTTGTGCAACTACCACCTCAACTCTTTTTTTTTTTTTTTTTTTTTTTTTTGAGATAGAGTCTCACTCTGTCACCCAGGCTGGAGTGCAGTGACGCGATCTCGGCTCACTGCAAGCTCCGCCTTCCAGGTTCACACCATTCTCCTGCCTCAGCCTCCTGAGTAGCTGGGACTACAGGCGACCGCCACCATGCCCGGCTAATTTTTTGTATTTTTAGTAGAGACAGGGTTTCACCGTGTTAGCCAGGATGGTCTTGATCTCCTGACCTTGTGATCTGCCTGCTTTGGCCTCCCAAAGTGCTGGGATTACAGGTGTGAGCCACCACGCCCGGCCTAGCACCTCAACTCTTGATTTCATCTTATAACTGTGTGGCTGGGTCCTTACCCAAGCAGAACCCCATGAAACCAACAGATTCAGTGGTTTTGATGTACGTTTTGGTGCGCTGTGATGTCACCATATAAGTAGCCAAATTTGGTGATTCTAGGTTGACTTACTGCTCCCAGATCCATAAAGATTGGTCAACACGAATGAACCTAAAAAGATAGGTCAGTCACACGGAACCCTGCCCCAGCCAAACAAACTCACACTTGTCAATCATGAACTCGTGATTGAAAATGTGCTTCCCAGATAAAAGAAGTCATCTACTCATTTTGCTTCCATGTTGCTGATAGAATTACTTTTTCTGTTCTGGCTTTCCCAAGGCAATTACAAAACCTGTTTACTCCATCGTAAGTTGAAATCAACACTATTACTATAAACTCTATAATACTATATTTTTACCCTAACTGGAAGAAATTAATCATTAAACCTGTGGATTAAATACAACTTTTAACATGATGCATACAATGAGAAACAACTTACTGAAAGCATCAATTCAATAAATGCATCCACTGAAATGGTGGCTTATTTAAGAGTCATGTTCCTGTACTTTTCTTTTTTCTTTCTTTTTTTTTTTTTTTTTTTTTGAGATTGAGTCTTGCTCTGTCACCCAGGCTGGAGTGCAGTGGTGCGATCTTGGCTCACTGCAACCCGCACTGCCCAGGTTTCAGCAATTCTCCTGCCTCAGCCTCCTGAATAGCTAGGATTATAAGCATGCGACACCATGCCTGGCTAGTTTTTGTTTTTTAGTGGAGATGGAGTTTTACCACGTTGGCCAGGCTGGTCTCGAACTCCTAATCTCAGGTGATCCACCAGTCTCGGCCTCCCAAAGTGTTGAGATTGCAGGCGTGAGCCACCATACCTAGCCCACTTTTCTTCTTTTTCTTCTTCTTCTTCTTCTTTCTTCTTTCTTCTTCTTCTTTTTTTTTTTTTTTTTTTTTTTTTTAGAAGGAGCCTCACTCTGCCACCCAGGCTGGAGTGCACAGTGGTGCAATCTTGGCTCACTGCAACCTCTGTCTCCTGGGTTCAATCAATTCTCCTACCTTAGCCTCCCGAGTAGCTGGAATTACAGGCACCCGCCATCACACCCAGCTAATTTTTGCGGATTGTTTTTGTTTTTGTTTTTTAAGTAGAGATGGGGTTTCACCATGTCGGACAGGCTGGTCTCAAACTCCTGGCCTCAGGTGACCCACCCACCTCAGCCTCCCAAAGTGCTGGGATTACAGGCGTGAGCCACTGCGCCTGGCCCACTTTTCTTCTTAAAGTAACACTTTGGAAACACTAGGAATGAACTGGCTCTGTTTTAAGGTTATATAGAAAAAAGTAATGGAGTTGGGCATTGTATTAGCAGTACCATAATGAAGCTTCTTAAAAGCCAGCTTGATGGTTATTTTTAATAATTATAGGCACTACTTACAGGTCACTGAGATAAATCACATAATGTTGAACTTTGCAGTCTTATAAGGAAAAAAAATTTTCTCCTTTGCCAGAAATTATCAGGTTATTAATTTTTTTCAGTGCATGTGTGAAAAGCCATTAGCTTCTCTTTTTTTTCTTTTCTTTAAATATCCAGCTATACTAGGTGACTGTGCTCAAATGGTGGTGATTGCCATGGACTAAAATCCCATAAGAAGAACCTTGAGACCTGTCGAGGTGAAAGCTAACCCACTGGAAAGTGGATGCCATCAGATTTGTAGTAGTTGATAAGTGTGTAGAAGTCAAGAAGCACTGAAAATGGCAGTGTACTCAATTTTAACTTTATTTATTCAATGCTTAAATCAGTCCTAAGGAGGATTTGCTGTAGTTATCATAGTAGCATAACGATATACTGTTTCAAATGAAACACATGTGAAGTAACACAATTGACTCCTCATTTTAAATGATCCTGCTTTAAATGTTGAGATCCAGCTTCTCATAGCCTAAGCATCCCACAACCAAATGCCTGAAAATTAAGATTCATCTCTAAAGGCAGTGTAGTCATATAAGAATAAGCTCCACAAAATTACATTTACTATGAGTACAATATTACAAAAATATATGTACATGGATAAAAACTCACAAGAAATCCAGAATCCAGAAAACTTAACCAGGTTAATACGGTGTTATTATTGGTCACTTTTGCTGTTTTCATTTTAAATTATCTAACGCTGTTCTGTGTTTTCAGATAACAGGAAGGGGGAAAACAGTTGGATGCTGATTTCTCGTTGGTACTATGCATATAATAGATGTTCAGTAGATGCAGTTGGAGGAAGGTGTAACAATAAAAGCAGGACATGTCAGTAGTGTGAATGTGCCCTTTCATGGCACAATTTAGAAAACAGCCTGGAAGACACTGCACGTTGGCCTCATGCTTTTTAAAGGAAATAAGACATGTATAGAGTCGCTTTTATGCATCTTGTGATGAAGATATTCCCCCTGGCCCATCTTTAACTAACAATTGGGCCTCTCAACTGCCACCTCAAAGTTCAGTGCTGCTTGAGACCAGGGGACACCCTTGGCTTCAGGGGAGAGGAACCCAGAGGACTCCGTAGTAGGCACCATGACGGCAGCACTAAGGAGCTTGCCGCTCTGGACTTCCTAGTGCAGTTTTCAAGGGGTGGGTTCCTGGCCTCCCCGCAGTCCTCCTGGAACCAGAGCCCTTCTGGTCTCCTGGTTCCCACAGCAACAAAGTTTTCTTTCAGCCCCTAGTCACTGGGTCCCCTTTCCCTGGACCTAGTCTCTTTACAATGAGGTCCCAGATACCAGCCTCTAATCATCAGGACAAACGGCTATCCCCCAACTCCAGTTTCCTCCCCACCCATCACCTCCCTCCTAAGCCAGCGTGAGTCACAGACGCAGATCCTTAACCCTCTCTTGCTTTTTGTCACCTTGTCCCTCGCGTTCAGATCTGTTCAAGCTCATCCTCAAAATAGCTGGCCTTGGTTTTATTCTGTTTTAAAACCTTGCCTTCTTCACCCTTTTTCCCCATAACCCCTATCACTCCTCAAAATAAAACTTTACCCCCAAAAAACTGTTCAGAGTCCCAGTCCCAGCCTTATATGGTCTGACCCTGTCCTGCAGCTCAGACCCGGTTTGTTTCTCAAGATCATGACCACATTCACCATCCAACTCCTGTCTGTGCAACCTGCCTAAAGAGTCCTTGCCCAGTTGGATAAATAAATATCTTTCATTTGCAGAAATCTTGAGAAAGCAAGGACTCTGGGGTTTTGTTTTGTTTTTTTCCACTCTCTCTACTCCTTTTTCTTTGGTTCTCTCATTCATTCAGTCATTTGTTCTTTAAATCTATTGTTTATTTACAGTTCCTGAGATCCTAGTTGCACCAGGAAATATACTAGATAATAAGGTTACAAAGAAATACATTTCTGCTTTGAGAAGATCGTAATTCCTGGGGTCCTAAAATACAGCTGTTACAGTTACACAACCACCAACTTTTCATAGACCTTAATGATTCCCAAAATGCTGGCACGTTGGTTGTCTCAATTAGTCCTCTCTACAACCCTGTCAGGAAGGTATTCTATTTGTCACCATTTTATAGAGGAGGGAACAAAAGGTCAGGAAAGTTAAATAATTTCCCCAAGATAGCCCAGCTTTCAGTGATGGATCTGGGAGATAAGCCCACCTCCCATGCTCGTTGTAAAGTAGTGCTTTCCCCGCCTTCTCATGAGATGTCTTACAGGGGAAAGTCATTCTTAAGTTAAAAACAACAGCAGCAGCAAGGCCCGTACAGCATGCTCAGGTAGAAAATCACCTCCTAGAAGGAGTCCAACTTCGGGTTCCTTCATGTAGTGGCTCAGTTTGTTTACCTCCTTGCCCACATTTACCTTCAAAAATTTATCTTGTAAACAAATGAAAAAAAGCAGAAAGGGCTCTTTCAAAAAAAAAAAAAAATGTGCTGTAATCCCAGCACTCTGGGAGACTGAGGCGGGCAGATCACGAACGAGGTCAGGAGATCGAGACCATCCTGGCTAACATGGTGAAATCCCGTCTCTACTAAAAATAAAAAAAATTAGCCAAGCGTGGTGGCATGCACCTGTAGTCCCAGCTACCCGGGAGGCTGAGGCAGGAGAATCACTTGAACCCGGGGGGCGGAGGTTGCAGTGTGCTGAGATCGCACCACTGCACTCCAGCCTGGGTGACAGAGCGAGACCCCATCTCAAAAAACAAAGCAAGCAAACAAACAAAACATGTATCTTTAAGCTCAAATGGGAATATCCCGTCACAGTTTGAGAATGTAATAGCTTAAGAGGCAGCCAAATTTTTATTTCTAGAAACCAGTCTATCATTTTCATGAGTCGCCAAATAGGAAACTCCTAAACATCTGCTTTCCTAAGTGAGTGGAACTTGTCCTGGTCCTGACCTGAGAAATCGAAACCGTGGCAAGAGTGGTTCTGTGGAGGCCAGATGGGCATTTCTCTGAGAGGCAAGAGGAAGGCAGGTTAATGTATGACTCCCAAAGTTCTTACACCTAGCAGTATTGATGAAACCATATTGTTATGGAATATCATCAGCACGGATATTGTTTCTTAAGCCTACAGCTATTCAAAGAGAAAGGGGAAAAAGCTGTGCCACCTTAATTTAATTGGAAGTAATTATGCTAACTTCCAGCCCCCATAGCTGTGTGCACCAGGGAGGCCAGGAGGACGGCAAGTAAGAGTCAGGGGCACTTGCCTCTCCGCGTTTGCTCTACATAGTCACACGTGATTGTTTTCTCCTCGTGTAGAACAATCATCTCACAACATTAAAAGGTAGAAAGAGCTTCCTCTTGGTTGTGTGGTTATTTTGGGTGCAGAGTTAATGACAAACCTTGTATACCAATTCACCAGGAATTTCAGTCCAAGCCAGGTGTGTTCAATATGGTGACCTGAAAGGAAGCCCGCTCTGTTGACCGTGAGAAATGAGCAGTTGTTAGCACGTCAAAGGTGTCATCCCTACCAACGAGGTGTCCCTTCTTGTGGTTTGTTCAATACTTCTCCGCATGAATTTACTTACAATAGCAATACACTTCATCAGATTCATTTCTATCATATTGTTTCCCTATAATTTTATTATATTGTCTTATGCACCAGAGCCTCCCTTTTTGGCCAAGTGTGTTTCCACTTCCATTTGATTTTCAGGGGGGGGTCATTTCCTTAGAGTTGTTTTAAACCATTTTTCTGAGCTTGGGATGTGCTGTTTTATCATATTTGCAGCAGTCAGAGGCTTTAGAGCATTTTTTACTAATAAAAATGAAACCACCTCTGTTACTGTTTTAGTAATACTGTTCTTTGTAGACCTCTTTCCATTTTCAGACTTACATTGAATAGATTAGGTACACTTGTGTTCTTATTCCCATCAAGCTACTGTATAATTTTTGTCACTTTGGCTCTTGGCAGGAGATTCTGCATACAGTGACAACAATGTAGGTGTGTGTGCACATGTGTGTCTGTGTTAGGGGGAAACGTGGGCCTGAGCCTTGGCTGAACCCTCACAGCAAGTCTAGCCTTCCCGCGGATCGTAATGAATGGAACTGCGGGAGCTGTCTCCGCTAAAGTGAGATATTCTTCTCCCAGACTAATGTTTTCTGCACCAGTTAGCAGATTTTTTTTTTTTTCCTAAGATCAACCCATCTGCCACTTTCATTCTGCAGTAACCTGGCAACTTGCAGTCTGGATCGTTCTTTTTCATCTTGACCCCTGGCCTTGGAATGCTGCAATTTAGTGATACTCCTTTAAAGGATTGTCTGGTCACTTAGGCAGGTCAGTGCTGTTATTTGCTCATGTCATGAGGGCTGGGTGTTCTTGAATAGATGGTGACAGTATGACCATAATTCCTAACGTGTCCAGTCAATTGTCATGGGCTAAAACCTTTCACAGAAATAACGGTGTCAGATATGGCTGTGGAGTCCATGAAAGATGCATTATTATTTTGCTCATCCTTCATAATACTTATTTTCTTTATCCTTATTGCCAATTCCCCAGGAGTCTAGAAATGAAGGGATTTGTTTCCAGTTGACATCACAGTCTTAGGCCTCGTGCGGTTTATATTCTATTGGAAGGGAAAACTGATAAATACCAAGCATCATTTTGTTGCAAAAGTTTAAATCATCTGAACTATATATGTAGCAGCAATCTAGATTGTGTTTATTTTCCTCTATTTTTTAAACTTACATCATATTTCCAATCTGACAAATTGAACTGCTCCTGCAGTGCCGTGATTTAAGCCTCATAGGCCAATCTCTTCAGGTGATTGTTTTGTCTATTTTTAAAAATCTCCACAAAGAACATTTATTTTTCTTCCTAGTAAACGATGTCATTGTTTACCTGTTAGAAATGTCTTATCAAATTTTAAGATAACCTGTCCTTTGTTATAGTTTGAGTCCATTACCCTAAGAGATTACTTCATTTTCTATAGCAAACAAAAGATCAGTGGCCTCTTTAAAAATAGCATCTTCCATATTGGAAGAAGAAAATCATGTCTGGACTGGCTTCTTTTGATATAACAAAAACTATTTCCCTTATCCACGCTCAATACGGTCAACACCCTCTCCTGCAAAAATGGCCACAGGGGAAAGGAGGGCCATTTTCAGCCCACTTCCAATGGAGACCAATCTCTTTCCAACATATTTCATTCAAATGATAAAGGATTATATCCTCTATCATTTGCTTTTACAAATAGAACATTGGAAGTCTTGACTTGCTATTATTTTCTTGAAGGTTAGCAAAAACATAACTTCTGCTGGAGTAACATTGACTCTCTTGGGTCTCTTAATACCCAGACTGGTTACTTATGCAAATAGCTTTGCTGTGTAATTAGGGTAAAGCATTTTGGTTAAATTGCCTTTCTATACCCAGAACTCTATCCTAGACCAACCTTTGTAAGGGAATTGAACCTGCTGGGTTTGAAAATTAGAATACTAAGCACAAGTGGGTGCATTTCTTCAATGGGCTTCGCGTTGGTCTCAGATTAACTGGAAACAACAACTTGATGTGGGGATCTCAGGGACAGTCACACTTCACGATGCCTCACTGGCGACCTCAGGGACAGTCACACTTCACGATGCCTCACTGGCGACCTCAGGGACAGTCACACTTCACGATGCCTCACTGGCGATCTCAGGGACAATCACGCTTCATGATACCGCACATCCTGTGATGGTTGAGTTATTACAAAGCATCAAGAAGGTTCATCTCCACAAATTTGTGTCATTTTTAGTAGCCACTGCATCTGGAATTTCATCATTAGAGAGTAAAGAGCCTAGGTTCCTGCCCTTTAAAATCTCCTCTTAAAACACAATTTTATAAAAGTGTTCATGTGTAAAGAACATGCCTCTCAACGATGCATATGTCTTCAGAAATTTCTTATAGAAATCATAAGGACGGTAGAGGATTAGCCTCCTGGCAAGGGCATGAATGCAGGAGCCCATGGGCAAAACCTTGCTTGCACCTTTTTGAGCCCACACAGGGTTGAGCTGCACAATGGATTAATTAAGCCATTTTATATTTAAATTTAAAATATCGATTTGTGGCTTAACTTTTTTTTTTTTTTTTTTTTTTTTGAGATGGAGTCTCACTCTGTCACCCAGGCTGGAGTACAGTGGCACAATCTCGGCTCACTGCAACCTCTGCCTCCTGGGTTCAAGCAATTCTCCTGCTTCAGCCTCCTGAGTAGCTGGGATTACAGGCGCGCACCACCACACACAGCTAATTTTTGTATTTTTAGTAAAGACGGGGTTTCACCATGTTGGTCAGGCTGGTCTCGAACTCCTAAACTTGTGATCCACCCTCCTCGGCCTCTCACCAAGTGTTGAGATTACAGGTGTAAGCCACCGTGCCCAGCCTTTTTTTCTTTTTTTCCCCCCAAAGGAAGCTCCTGGTGCACTAGATGGGCATTCTCATGTGAAGAAAAAAATCAGCTTAACATGAAAGGCCATCCCCTCCTTTAAACAGCACAGGTGCTTCCAATCTGCCACCATGCCCACCTGGCTGCCCCCTATTCTCCAGGCTCCTCCCTGGCTCTAAAAGCCTTGAGTTTCTTACCTCTCTTTTTCGAGGCTTTGCCATTCTTTTTGATCTCAGAATGGATCATTTTCTCTCTGCGAGGATGAATAAACAGCTAACACTAGGACTAAGTGCTTTTTCTCAAGCACTGCTGAGAAAGATCTGGAAGGTAGTGTTGCCCAAGAACAGGAGGTGAAAAAGTTTTCTGGTGCTCTTCTAATTTAAAAAAAAAAAAAAGAAAAGTCTTTAGATACCAAAATGTTTCTGTGATGTTGTCATAGAATCATAACACCCGGCCAGACATGGTGGCTCACGCCTGTAATCCCAGCACTTTGGGAGGCCAAGACTGGCGGATCACCTGAGGTCAGGAGTTCGAGACTAGCCTGACCAACATGGAGAAACCCTGTCTCTACTAAAAATACAAAATTAGCTGGGCATGGTGGCGCATGCCTGTAATCCCAGCTACTTGGGAGGCTGAGGCGGGAGAATCACTTGAACCTGGGAGGCAGAGGTTGTGGTGAGCCAAGAGCGCACCATTGCACTCCAGTCTCGGCAACAAGAGTGAAACTCCATCTCCAAAAAAAAAAAAAGGAATTATAACACTCAAGAACTGTGAAACTTTCCTATTCTTAGCTCTGGTCCGTTTTGCATTACCATGGTGTTTAATTGAGGGGGAAAAAAAGTAGGCTACAGATAAATTGGAAATGATTCAACTGAGAGTGACAAAAATTATTAAAATGATTAAAGGGTTGCAAAACTGATCTGTGAGGATCGGCTTGAGGAATTGGATTTATGAAGTCTGAGGAAAAGGGAGCTCAGGGCGGATTTATTAAGTGTATTAAGGGACATGATACGGAGGAAGCTGACCAATGTTTTCCTGCTCTGCTGAGGACAGAGCAAATGGAAATGATCTTACAATATGGCAGGGGAGAATTTTTCATCATGTGTAATGGAGCCATAAGGACTGACCCTCAGGAAAAGCGTTTCCGAGGTTAAAGAAAAAGAAAATACTTAAAAATATTCTCCTTGAGACAGGTTTTTAAAGGATAGACAGTCGACAAGGAGTTTTATATCTTGTTCTGCCTAAAGGCAGGGTTTGTGCCAGGTGACCTTTGGGGGCATTTTCCATTCCTTTGAGTCTACAGATTTATAGAAGGTCTTGAATCTGATTTTAGTGAATTCAAAAGCAAGTACACATCAGCTCCTAACCATCAGAAACTAAAGTACAAGGACACACACATTTTTTTGCTATTGAATTAACACCTGGAATCTCAGCTATTCATGCAATCATTTCTTTTGTAGTCTGTGATTGCAAACTAACAGTTATTAGTCCTCTGTGGCACTTAAAAAAGGGTACAGCTTTTATGCCTAACGTGTGCGATACTTCTATTAGCAACGTGTTTCCCTGGATACGTTTTATCAGAAACTTCACTACCAAAAATAAGAATATAGAAAGGCATTCCCATGTGTCAGAAAAGGTAGGTCATTTATTTCATCTACTATTATGTATTGAGCACCTATTATAAACCTGGACCTATGTTTTGCACTGAGCATACAAAGATGGAAAAGTAAGTCAACGAGCTTACTTGGGTGGTCAGGGAGTGATTCAGGCTGGACGTGAAAACCCGTTATGAAAATATAGTTTACTGAATGTTTAAGGAGGTTTTAGTGAGGGTAGGAAAATATGAAATACCACCTAAAATGGGATTAAATTGACAGAAAATATCAACTGTGCATGGTACCATCAGGAGCAGAGAGAAGAGTCAAGATATAGAGGAGGCAGAGAATGGAGGGTAGGGGGAAGGGCTCAAAGGAAGAGAGCATCCCTTCCTGAACAGCTGCGTGCTGGGCCGAGAGGAAAGCTTGGCTGTCCCCAGCAGCTGTCTGGAACTTCCCTGACCAGTGGAATGCTAGTTAGCAAAAGAGATTGTAGATTATAATTGGCGGTTCCCCACCCCATAGCCACCTTCGAGGGTTAAATTGGGCCATGTACAGGCAGACCAGTACATAATGTGATTTAATAATCTGCCCAAGTCATTGTGTCAAAACTGAGAACTGATGCCCCAAATTCACTTGATAGGAAATGGATCATTCCATTTCATAGAGATGAGCAATGTTACAAATGCCACACTGAAAAGATACTTAGACAAAAAGTCACTCGTCTTCTTAGCCCCACAGAATCTTAGGCTGAAAAGGAACTTAAAGCCTAGTCACCAAACCTCTTTCCCACTACTGGAATGGGTTCCGCACACCTTCCTTCCTTGGCAGGTGTCCAACTTAAGTGGCAAAAAGTTCAGATCTTTCAGGAAGGTTGTTTAGGAAGAGAGGAATTTTTAAAAAGTTCTTCCTTACGTGAGGCTTAAAACTGCCTCCCTGAAACATGCACTCATGGCTTGAGACCCACTCCTGGGAGCTGCTTAGTGTAGCTGAACAGGCGGCCTGTGACATCCTCTTGTGGGTCTCTTCTCTGGAGGCTTAATGCCCCTCCTCAGCCTCCTGTGAGGCTGCTCCTGGCTCCGTGGCAGCCTTGCCCAAATGGGTTACAGTTTGTTAATGTCTCACAGAAGGTGGTTCCCCAAATTGACTTTTTGGTACTGCAGACCAATGGCCTAGTTTACAACTGAGCAAGCTTTTTGGGACAGCCATATCACACTTATCTGTAAAGAATTAAATGTATAATAAATCAATATTACTCTTTTACCGTTAGCATTATTGAGCACTGGCTGTGTGCCTCTCAATAAGCCCAGTTAGGTCCCCACAGCCACCTGCCACTCCTGGGCCCCACCCACCTGCATCATCCTCCTTTCTGCACTTGTCTCACTCGCCTGTGACCCTTTTTGACCAGCCCAGAGCAGTCATTCAATCAGCATTTGTTGATGAATTCATTAAATAGGCAACAAATTTTTCAGCCTCTATTGAGTTTGCAGGTAACGTAAATGAAAGTTGGGAAGTCAAATTGTCACTGTTTGCAGATGACATGATTGTATATCTAGAAAACCCCATTGTCTCAGCCCAAAATCTCCTTAAGCTGATAAGCAACTTCAGCAAAGTCTCAGGATACAAAATCAATGTACAAAAATCACAAGCATTCTTATACACCAATAGCAGACAAACAGAGAGCCAAATCATGAGTGAACTCCCATTCACAATTGCTTCAAAGAGAATAAAATACCTAGGAATCCACCTTACAAGGGATGTGAAGGACCTCTTCAAGGAGAACTACAAACCACTGCTCAATGAAATTAAAGAGGATACAAACAAATGGAAGAACATTCCATGCTCGTGGGTAGGAAGAATCAATATCGTGAAAATGGCCATACTGCCCAAGGTAATTTATAGATTCAATGCCATCCCCATCAAGCTACCAATGACTTTCTTCACAGAATTGGAAAAAACTACTTTAAAGTTCATATGGAACCAAAAAAGAACCCGCATCGCCAAGTCAATCCTAAGCCAAAAGAACAAAGCTGGAGGCATCACGCTGCCTGACTTCAAACTATACTACAAGGCTACAGTAACCAAAACAGCATGGTACTGGTACCAAAACAGAGATATAGATCAATGGAACAGAACAGAGCCCTCAGAAATAATGCCACATATCTACAACTATCTGATCTTTGACAAACCTGAGAAAAACAAGCAATGGGGAAAGGATTCCCTATTTAATAAATGGTGCTGGGAAAACAGTCTAGCCATATGTAGAAAGCTGAAACTGGATCCCTTCCTTACACCTTATACAAAAATCAATTCAAGATGGATTAAAGACTTAAACGTTAGACCTAAAACCATAAAAACCCTAGAAGAAAACCTAAGCATTACCATTCAGGACATAGGCACGGGCAAGGACTTCATGTCTAAAACACCAATAGCAATGGCAACAAAAGCCAAAATTGACAAATGGGATCTCATTAAACTAAACAGCTTCTGCACAGCAAAAGAAACTACCATCAGAGTGAACAGGCAGCCCACAAAATGGGAGAATATTTTTGCAACCTACTCATCTGACAAAGGGCTAATATCCAGAATCTACAATGAACTCAAACAAATTTACAAGAAAAAAACAAACAACCCCATCAAAGAGTGGGCAAAGGACATGAACAGACACTTCTCAAAAGAAGACATTTATGCAGCCAAAAAACACATGAAAAAATGCTCACCATCACTGGCCATCAGAGAAATGCAAATCAAAACCACAATGAGATATCATCTCACACCAGTTAGAATGGCGATCATTAAAAAGTCAGGAAACAACAGATGCTTGAGAGGATGTGGAGAAATAGGAACACTTTTACACTGTTGGTGGGACTGTAAACTAGTTCGACCATTGTGGAAGTCAGTGTGGCGATTCCTCAGGGATCTAGAACTAGAAATACCATTTGACCCAGCCATCCCATTACTGGATATACACCCAAAGGACTATAAATCATGCTGCTATAAAGACACATGCACACGTATGTTTATTGCAGCACTATTCACAATAGCAAAGACTTGGAACCAACCCAAATGTCCAACAATGATAGACTGGATTAAGAAAATGTGGCACATATACACCATGGAATACTATGCAGCCATAAAAAATGATGAGTTCATTTCCTTTGTAGGGACATGGATGAAATTGGAAATCATCATTCTCAGTAAACTATCGCAAGAACAAAAAACCAAACACCGCATATTCTCACTCATAGGTGGGAATTGAACAATGGGAACACATGGACACAGGAGGGGGAACATCACACTCTGGGGACTGTTGTGGGGTGGGGGGAGGGGGGAGGGATAGCATTGGGAGATATACCTAATGCTAGATGACAAGTTGGTGGGTGCAGCGCACCAGCATGTCACATGTATACATATGTAACTAACCTGCACATTGTGCACATGTACCCTAAAACTTAAAGTATAATAATAAAAAAGAAAGTTTCACAGTGTTTGGTCTGTTCCCATTTATCCCTGCAACAACTCCTGACTTGTAACATGACTCAGTCAGTACAGGTCTGGGGAACACAGGGTTCACCCCCTTTTCCCATCCCCGCACACCTGAGGTTTCCGACCCGCCCTGCCTGAAACCCTGCTCGGACGCTCAGGGTTGGGAAAAGGCTATGCCTGGCAGGGAGTGGTCCCCATGGCAATCCCTGCCGGCTCTTCCTCAGGGAGTCAGACCTTGCCCAGCTCTGAGGTGCAGATAACGCTGTGTTCATGCCTTTAAGTCACCCTCATTAGATTTCTTGTGGTTCGGTTCAGCCCATCCTTCCAGCCTTGGAGACCCTTTGGGATCTTTCTTCAAGCCTCTAAGTTATTGAATATCTTATGGCTTTTTGACCTCTAACTATAAGAAGTCACATCTTCTGTCTCTATACCCATGTCATCGGTATAGCTTTTTAAATATATTAATACCTTTCCTCATGTAACAAGGACAGACCTAACACTATCATAATAAACTAGAAGTCAAGGCTGAAAATCCAGATCATGGATATAGCAAAGAATTAGGTTGACCACAGAGGTTCTTCAATGCTTTCCCCCTGTCTAGGGTGTCTCAATGATCAAGGCTGAAGGGGACTCTGGTGGTGATATAATCATCATTATCAGAATAGAAGCCTGTGGATTCCTGGGGGAAGCAGGCTTTTCCTCACAGTGGATTCTAAAAGAATGCTCACATCTGACTTTGTGTCACGGCCACCCTGTGGTGCAGTGAGTGATGTTTACAACCTCTTTTTTAAAACAGCAACTGCAGGCCGGACTGCTTCTGGTTGTGACCTTCATAGAAGCATAGAGGCTCTCGAAGCAGGGCTCTGGGGGCAGAGCAACTGCCTTAGAACCCAGCTAGACTAGGTCGCCCCCATAGCCCCCTCAGTCCAGTCCCTCACCTCCATAAACCTCTGTTAAATGAGGGTAATTAATAAGTATCTACCTCCTGGGGCCGTTGCAGCCATTAAGTGAGTTAAAACATGTAAAAGTCTTAGTGCAGTGGGGGCAAAGGTTATTTAGTGGCAGAGGTTATTTAGGATGAAAATGGTACTTATCCCATATATTTGTGGTGAGAATGACCTGAATAACCCACAGAAAGAGCACAGTGTGCAGCAAACAGAAGTTCATGAGTCTTGGCTATTGTATAAAAGACTTTTTTATGACTTGTTCAGACAAGATTAAAATCTTCAGAATGACAGCCATAAATTCATCAAGACTCTACGGTACAGCAGCAGCCCCCTCCCGTTCTACCCTCCTTTTAGTCAATCTAGTATTACAAGTAGCACCCAGGCCTTCCAGATCCCATCTCCTCCCTCTACATGGGAGATCAGTTTGCCTTTATAATACACACCTGCTGTTAGCCTTGGGCCAGAAGACATACCCTGAAAGTCACTAGAACCATTCGTTCATCAACCATAAAATAGTAAGATTTCCAACATATTAAGAAGTTTCTATCAGACATGGTGCTTAACATTGGATATGTATCATCTAACTCAATCCTTGCCACAAATGCATGAAGTAAGTGCTGTTCTCCTCCTACAATTAAAATGAAGAAAGTGAAGGTTAAAGCAATTAAGCGACATCCCCAGGGTTACGCACCTACTAAGCTGTGGAGTCAGGTTTTTAATCCAGAGCCTTCTACTCCAGAGCATGTACTTATAACCATTCCACACCTGTCCTTCCCACACATTCACCGTAGAGCATGGATCAGAGCCACCTCATACCCTCACCGACACTGCTCCACCATCATTAGTCCTAGCCGATAACACTGTGTTCTAACTATTATCTTTCCATAAATGCACTGGTACTCCAGAGGTTGCTACTCCCAAATCCCCCATTTCTCTCTTCCCTGCTTGTTACTGGTCCCCTCCTTCAGGATACTCTTACTATCCTCATCCCTACCAGTCAATGCACATAAATGACAGCTCACATTATCCCATTTTTTAAATGTGGGAATGGATTCCAGAGTCGGGATGTTGCTTCAGAAGAGAAGGGGTGGGAAGGCAAGTAGCTTGGGGTGCTGGGAAACCTTGCTAATTTCCCAGGGTTGGTTAGAAGGGGTCCTTTACCATCAGTCATGTTTACTTCTAGAAGCTCTCCTTTTGATGTCATTGGTTTTCTGCACAGCCAAACATTGTTCATGAGCTTAGAGAAAATATTGTTATTGGCTTGGTTGACAGCGTCTTAATCTCTTTATGTCTCAGCGTCCTCAGCTATAACATAGGGATAGGAGTAGTGCCTCTCCCAAAGAGTGCAAACTTAATCAATTGACTAATGATAAGCATGTGCAGTGCATGGCCCAAAATGGACATGATTAGCAACAATGATGATCAGGATAATGCATTTCAGAGTTGCTTCATGTGATCCACAAAAAGCAGTTTTTAACACAACTCATAAAAAAGCTTTTATGCCCAGATGATTCAGTGATCCAGGTATTCCTTCTCACATGGCTGATAACTAAGACATGCAGACTTTCTCTCTCATGTCACTCACTGACAGCGCATCTTAGAAACGTAGTGTTATATCTTCCCCCAGAACAGCCGCATCTTAGAAACGTAGGGTTATATCTTCATATCTTGGTGTTACATCCTCAGCCTCAGGATGCTGCTGTGGCTGAGGCTGTGCTGCCTGAAGGAAACCCCTGTCTGTCCAAGGCCTGTCTGTTTGGTTTATAGACCCACACAACCCATGGCTCAAGAAGCCACTGAGCCTTGTACAAATTCACAATGTGAGATGCTATAGAGAACAAATGACCAGTTTCTCCAGCATCTGAGAGGCGTGGAGTACAAAGCAGAAGAGAGACAGTTGCAGATGGCAGACAAGTCAAACAACCACTTGAACATCTGGGCTGGGTGTGAAGCCTGATTTCTGATTCCTGGAAACAGACCAACCATTAAAAAAAAAGCATTCAACAGTCTGGGAGAAAATATTGCAAAAGACCTATCGGATAAAGGGACTATTACCAAAATATACAAAGAACTTTTCAAAATTGACAGTAAGAAAACTATCAACAAGATTAAAAATGGGCAAAAGAGCTGAACAGAAACCTCACCGAAAAAAGATATACAGATGCAAAAAAGCATATGAAAAGATGTTCAACATCATATGTCATTTGGCATTTGCAAATTAAAACAATGAGATACCTCTACACACCTACTAAAATGGCCAAAACCCAAAACATGGATGCCACCAGATGCTGGGGAGGATGTGGAGCTCCAGGAACTCTCATTCACTGTTGGTGGGAATGCAAAATGGTACAGTCTCTTTGGAAGACAGTCTGGCAGTTTCTTAGAAAACTAAACACAGCCGGGCACAATGGCTCTTGCCTGTAATCCCAGCGCTTGGGAGGTTGAGGCAGGCAGATCACGAGGTCAGGAGTTCGAGACTAGCCTGGCAATATGGTGAAACCCCGTCTCTACTAAAAATACAAAAATTAGCCAGGCATGGTGGCGAGTACCAGTAGTCCCAGCTACTTGGGAGTCTGAGGCAGGAGAATCGCTTGAACCCAGGAGGCGGAGGTTGCAGTGAGCCAAGATTGCGCCATTGCACTCCAGCCCGGGCGACAGAGGGAGACTTGGTCTCAAAAAAAAAAAAAAAAAGAAAAAAAAAAACTAAACTAAACATACGCTTACCATATGATCTAGCAAACATGCTTCTTGGTATTTACTTGAATTAGTTGAAAACTTATGTATACAACTAAACCTTCATACAGATATTGACAGCAGATTTATTCATAATTGACAAATCTGGGAAGCAACCAAGGTGTCCTTCAGTCGATGAATGGATAAATAAACTGGTACTTCCAGACAGTGAGATATTATTCCATGCTAAAAAGAAACGTACTGTCAAGCCATGGGAAGACATAGAGGAACCTTAAGTGCATATTACCAGTGAAAGATGCCAATCTGAAAAGACTACATACTGTGTGGTTTCAGCTATATGATATTCTAGAAAAGGCAAAACTCTGGACACAGTAAAAAGATCCATGATTGTCAGGGGTTTGGGGAGGAAAGGATGAGTATGTGGAGCACTGAGGGTTTTCAGGACCATGAAACTCTTTTGTATAATACTGCAGAGGTGGATAAATGTTATACATTTGTCCAAACCCATAGGAAGTACAGCACCAGGAGTGAACCTCATGTAAACTGAGGACTTTGGGTGATGATGTGTCAATGTACATTTTGCATTTATAACAAATGTACCACTCTTGTGGGGAACACTGATAGTGGGGGAGGCTGTGCATGTATAGGGGAGAGGGGAGAGGGGAGCTCTCTGTACTCTGCTCAATTTTGCCGTGAAATTAAACTGTCTTTAAAAATAATCTCTATTGAAAAATGAAAAATTCTAAAAGTTTTGACACAACTGACTTTAGATAATAGTAAGGATGCATTGATTTTCATTAACATTTCAACTGCACCTTAAAGATGCGTGAGATTTTGTAAGGAAACATGGCCGAAGGACTTTTGGCAAAGACACTGCATGAACAAAAGTGGGGAAGGAGGAGAGTGAGGGCAGCATTCAGAAGACAACTTGGTGTTCAGTTTATCTGTAATCTTGGGAACAGCTGCGGTTTCAAATAATTCATTGTATTATTCCTGGACACCATTTCAGAAATCATAGCATTTTGGCATCCAAATTCTACCTTCTGAAGGGTCTTTCAAAGCTAGAAGAGAATAAAAATTCTTTACCCATTCGTAGAACTTGGTTCTGAATATATGATGACCTCAGCCACAGAGCAGTAATTCTCAAGATTAATTGTGCCTAAGAATTGTCAAGGGAAAGGGTTACTTATGGAAAATGCAGAAACCACCACCACCTCGAATCCAGTAGGTCTGAAATGAAACCTGCAATCTGCATTTTTCACGAGCAACTCAGCTAACTTGGATCCAGGTGGACCAGGGACCACATTTTCAGAAGTCAAACCATAGAGGTAGATGCAAGAGGCTAGAAGAGAGGTCCCACATTCCAAAGCCAATAAGAAGCAACAGGTGACATGAACGAGAGAAATGAGGGGTGGGAAACACTGATCTTAGCTTTTCACTTTCATACTTAGGAGAATTATGCACTCCACAAAGAAATACACTCTTTCTCTTACTTTTAGAAAAACACAGCCCTTTCCCACTTTTGATAGAGACATGGGACAGAAATATTTCCCTATATGCAACAGACATTTATGTGTAATGACAAATAGCAACTGAAGGGAAGGAGTGGAGGCCCAGGGTGTCCTCATTCTTCACTTTAGCAAGGGAAGTTTAGGATGCATCTTTTACGTTGATCTCCCAATCTGTAAATGTTGTCTTAGATTCTTTTCAAGCACTCTGTGAGCCAAAAAAAAAAAAAAAATGTGTGTGTGTGTGTGTCCAGACCCTGCTCACAAGCCACCAGTTGTGACCTTTGAACGAAACCCTAGCTGGGAAGGTTGGTTTGGACTAGATCACAGGGTTTCAGCCTGAGTTCTGAGAAATGTGCGGAGGTTGCAAAGCATCGGGGGCTTCAGTAGAAGATAAAGAAGAATCTCAATCCTCCCCCATCCCCATACACACACACTCACCCCATCTCACTCTTCAACATGACCATCTCTGCTTTTATTATGTATAGGTGTTCCAAAGCATATTTCACTTGAAAAATAGAATGTAGCCGCTAGAATTCCCAAAGAATATCCTGGATGTATTAGTCAGCACAGACTAAAGTCTGTTGCAGTAACAAACAACTTCAACATTTCAGTGGTTTGAAACAACAAAGGTTTGTTTCTCACGCGTAAGGCCTGTCCAATAGGGTTGGCAGGGAGACTGATGTGACCTCGTTCTCCATCAGGGTCGGCAGGTGGAGCCCTTCCTTCAGGAAGCAGGATGGTGGGAGGGATGGAGAGTTGAGTGCCAGAAATTAAAGGCTCTGGCCTCAAGTTACACATGTCATTGCCACCCACATTTCATTGGCCAAACAAGGCATTTGACGACATCTAACTGGGTTAGGACAGCACACCCTTCCCACAAGCTCTCAGGGAGAAGGGAGCTGAAGACCCTGTGAGCAGTGTGAATGGCTGGCACGGCGGGGTCATGTGGTGTGTTGGGAGGAGGCTTGAATTCCAAACCAGAGAGTGAGCTTTTATTTACTGAGGAATAGGAATTATAATGGGATCGTTGAGGAGAGGAGTAACATAACAAATGTAATAAATACAAACACTAATTATAAAAAGCTAAATATTCCATTTATTAATTAATACACTCTATAACATGATACTGATTTGCAGCCTGAATAAAAATCCCCTTGGTGAGCAGAGGTTTCTATCAGCTAAATTATGAATAGTATAGGTTAGAAATTGATTAACAATAATTTGTCTTTTTTCCCACATGTGAATTTAACCAATCTAATAAGAGCTTTATAAATAACTAATGAAAAAAGCCAGTCTCAGTGCTTGTGAGTCCTCCCACTGTGGAAAATTAGACCCATCTATTGAAGAACAAATATCCCCTCATGGAAGCAAAGGTTTCCTCTCTCCCGTCATTTGATCAGATTTAGAAGCATAATTACCATCATGCAATTTGAACTAAATATATTAAAGTATTTCTTTGAAGTGAAAATAATTGGAAAGCATCAGGAACAAGCCTTTCTATTTGAGACACCTTGGGAGGAGAGTTAGCCTCAACAAAGGCTGAAGCAGCTACAGCTACTGATCCCTGCTGCCGACTTCCCACCCACCTTGGCAACAGAACCAGGCAGAATCCTGGTCTCATCTTGTTTGCATTTGATGTGAATTCTGTCAAAAGGAAGAGATAATTGAGCTAGAGTTAGCCTTCTGAATTGAAAGGGAAAGGAGCGAGAAGAGCAGCTGAAAATACTTTGTGGTGCAAAGTATTCAGTCTGTAAGTGGGATATGGTGTGTGTGTGTGTGTGTGTGAGAGAGAGAGAGAGAGAGAGAGACATGTAAGCACTGTGCACACACACAGACTTGAGAATTGTACCCTTGACTCTTTTCAATGGGAATACAGAGTTTTAAAAAGGAGTAATATCTGTCTCTTATCTCTCCTAATTTATTCCCAGTTCAAGACAGAGGAGCAAGAACTTTTTTTTCTTTAAAGGATAACCTTTGCCAGAGGGTCTGTTTTGAAGGAGGAATGTCTGTGAGAGCTGAATGATGATGTCTCTCTTTCTTCCTGTAGTGGGGACACCCTGTCCTCCACTCGCCCTTACCTGGGAAGTTGTCCTAAGGAGGTACAAATCCCTTCCACTCCTTGGCAGAGCTTCCTGTACTTCTTTACCTGACTTTTCATGTTGGGAGTGAGGAAGTACTGATAAGTGCCCCTCCTGCAGGCCACTAGCCAGCAATGCCGCCTGGCCCTGGCCTGTGGGCTGACCCCTGGGAACAGGCTGTGGAGTCGTAGCCAGGAGGAACGGGCATGCCAGCAGGTTTGTGACGGGTTTTCTGCCTTGATGTATTTGCTCCTAGGGCTGCCATTATAAAGTGCCACAAGCCGGGTGGCGTAGAACAGCAGAAATGTGTTGTCTCACGGTTCTGGAGGCCAGAAGTCTGAAATCAAGGTGCCTCCAAGGTCATGTTCCTCTGAAACCCATGGGGAAGAATCCCTCCTTGCATCTTCTGGCTTCTGGTGTTTGCCAGCAATCCTTGGCTTGTGGCTGTGTCACTCCAGTCTCTGCTCCCATCATCTCATGGCCACCTTCTTGCTGTGTCTCCCTCCTCTTCTTCTGAGGATGCCAGCCATGTTTCAGTTAGAGCCAACCTACTTTGGTATGACCTTATGATATGGTTTGGCTGTGTCCCCACCCAAATATCCCTTAAATTGTAATAATCCCCACAGATCAAGGGCTGGGCCAGGTGGAGATAATTGAATCATGGGGGTGGCTTTCCCCATACTGTCCTTGTGGTAGTGAATAAGTCTCACAAGATCTGATGGTTTTATAAAGGGGAGGTCCCCTGCACATGCTCTCTTGCCTGCCACCACGTAAGACGTGCCTTTGCTCCTCATTGGCCTTCCGCCATGATTGTGAGGCCTCCCCAGCCATGTGGAACTGTGAGTCAGTTAAATCTCTTTCCTTTATAAATTACCCAGTGTCGAGTATGTCTTTATTAGCAGCATGAGACCAGACTAATACACCTTACCTTGACTAATTACATCCACAATGACACTATTTCCAAAGAAGATCTCATTCCAAGGTACTGGGTGTTAGGACATCAGCATATCTTTGTAAGGGATACAACTCAACCCATGACACTCAGGCCACTCGATCCTCCCAGCTAGCCTTGCCTGTGTGCACTGTCATTCTGATGCTCTCTAACAGGAACCAGGAAAATCTAAAGAGATTCTGTATTCCCATCAAACCGGGAAGGGCAAGAGCACATCACTTACATGTTAAGCCTCTTAATTACATTTATTCTTTGAACAAATGTTTGGCACTTCTATGTGCTAAGCACTGTGCCAAGTGCCCAGAAGATGGTCACAGCATGCCCCCATGACACAGAGGTCTAGAACGAACACCAACATTAAATAACCCTGTGCACGGATGCTGAGAAAGGGGAAGCTCAGGGTGCCATGGTAGTATGGAGTGAGGGCTGTAACCTAGTCTTCAGAACATTAGAAAGGCCTCCCTGCTGAAATAAAGCTTCACTGAGACCTGAAGGAAGAGTTGGGTCTAACCCCACCAAGAGAGCACGGAATTAGATTCTAGAAATGATGAAAGTAAATGAAGATGACCGTGCTTGTCATAGATGAACAATAGTTGTGTGAACAAAACAGGAACCTCTTTCTCTCAGGACATGGTCCCCATGGCTGGCTCTGTGGTAAGGAAACAGAAGCTCCCGTCTGTGGCTCTGCTGTCCCTTGAGCGTGCTCAGGTGGTTGAAGGTGACTGGCACCATACCTGCCTTCCAGCTTGCACAAAGAGAGAAGGAGAAGGGCTGGGAACATGCCTTCTTTAAGGGCGTAACCCAGAAATGGCACGCTTCACTTTCGTTTACATCTCAGGTGCCAGATCCAGTCACATGGGACCCTGAGTGCAGGAGAGGCCAGGGAATGTAGTCTGTACCTGGCAGACACGTGCCCAGTGAAGGCTTCTTATACTGCAGACGGGAGGAGAAGATACACATCGGGAGGAGAAGATACACATCAGGAGGACAACTATGAGCCATAGCATGTTGTCTGACACGTTAACAACTAAGGATTCCTTCCCTCCCCTAGGATATGCCGGGCAATGCAGTGGCCACTAGCCAGCGTCCTTGGAGCACTCAAAATGTGGGTAGTCCGAAGGGAGGTGTGTTGCAAATGTAAAATACAAACCAGATTTCAAAGACTTAATACCATAGAAGAATATAAGATATCTTATTAGTAATTTTTATGCTGATTACAGGATGAAATAAATTTTTTGATATATTGTGGTAAATAAAATATATTATCAAAATCACTTTCACCTGCTTCTTTTTGCTTTCCTAAAGTGGATATTAAAATACAATTTATATGTGTGGCTCGCATTTTATTTCCAATGTATAGCACCACTCTAGAATCGTTTAACGGTGTAGAGGGCAAGAAAGATGTCAACAACAGAGTTCAAGGCGGAGCAAGGGAGAGGAGTCCTAGAAGACTGGGGAAAGGCTGGGGATGAATCCTAGAAGAACTTGATGTTCGCCTGGAGACTTGGATCTTACAAGTTCACTGGAAGCACAGAGTTCATCAGATGCACCTCAGCCAGCTGGAGCATGTTCCTGAAACCTCTCCAGCCCATTTCTTTGCCCGTAAGATGGGAATACATGTGCTTATTGCAGACCGTTTTCATACTGATTAAATCAGTTAATGTGTGTAAAGCTCTCACACAGTATCAGCACATTAAAATGTTCAGTTTTGTTACTGAATGAAGGAACCAGTCGATGAAGAAACTAGAAATTCAGTTCAATCCAGTGCCTCCTTGCACAAACAGATTTGAAATCTTTGGATAGTTTTGAAGGAAAAAGCATCATTGATCATTAAACTTCATAGAAATAGTTTCTTGAATGCAGAATGTAAGTAACACAAGGTCTCCACTCTCCTTAAGATTCAGTCCCTTGTTCCACAGGCATGAAAAGGACCAGTCAGGCTTCTCAGCTGACGTGGACACCTGATAACATGGTGATGGAGAACATTTTTGTTGAGGCTTTGAAGTAGTCAAGTATATTGACCTTGACCTACCTGGAGAGCAGGTGTTGGATAGAGTTGGGGTAAGAGTTGCCAAGACATCACAAAGTCCTGATGATACGGTATTTTCATTGCACTGAGTAACCCAGTGGGCATTTGCTATTTATTTATTTATTTTTTATTTTTTAAAAGCTGCCAAATAATTATGAAAGTTTGAAATGTTCTATTAAATATGGTATAAAACTAAGTATAGGCTGTGTCTGCAAGCACCCACTAAATCATACAGTGCTGTCAAAAATTATTTTTCAGTTTCTGTCTCCATGGTAGGAAGAAAGCATTTGTTTAGTTTAGTGGGTGGACCCGTTAACATTGCTGGAAACGGCTGATCGAGCGTCCCTGCCTTCCCGGCTCTTGTCTTGTCTGTGCGGAGATAGCCCTGTGTTCTGCCTTCTGGCTGTCACTTCTTTAGTCACTTACAGATGGCATTTTGAAGGAATGCTAATTGAAGGACTTCACTGTTCACTTCTAACTAATCATTCTGACAGAAAACATCTCCTCTGCAAAGGAAGAGGAGGAACCCAAGAGAAGAAGCTTTTGCTTCTCTGTGCTAATGCACGTCGTTCTGTTTCACCCTAAGATGCTCTATGCGGAATCAACTCAAAGAAGAGCAGTGACTGAGGTGTTGCCAGCGTCCCTCCCTCATCGGCCCTTTCTGCATCTGCTCTTCGTGTAATCTGTGCCCTTCTTTGTTCATTGCCACATATTCAGGCGACTCTGTGCTGCAACCCCCGTTAGTCCTTCCGTTCGTCCATCTATCCATCAGTTCATCAACTGGATAAACACTGACCGAGTACCTTCCATTAGCAGAGGCAGTAGAGTGTGATGGTAAAGAACACAAGCTCTGGAACCAGACTTTCTGAGTTCAAATCTCAGCCCTGGCACTTATTAGATGTGTGATGTTGGCCAAGTCATTTAAACCCCAGTGAGTGCCAGTGTCCTCATGGGTCAAATGGAATAATGATAGTGTCAAAATTATTGAGCAGTTTTGATGGTTAAGTGAATTATTAAATATAATGGGCTTAAAATACTTCTTTAAACAAGAGAACATTCAATAAAGATTGTCTACTTTAATTATTACATGTGTGCCAGACACTTTGTGGGAGATGGAAATATGAATAGGCTATGATCCTCCCCTTTGGCATCTTAAGTCCTCTTATAATATGACCAAGAAGACATTTCAGATAGGTCACCTTGCAATAAGTACAATTTGAAGCTACTTTATTATTTTTATCTTTGGTGGCATTTAACTAGAATTTAACGGTTATGTTTTATAACTATGTATATATGCATGAATACATTTTTATAAAAATTAAGACTATATTAAAAATGGTCTGTACAGCCTGCTATATTATAAAATCATAAAACATGATAGGGCCCTTAGAGGTCAGCTGGTCTAACATGACACCCAGTGTGAGAATCTTCCCACAATCACCAGCCTCTACTCAGATCCACTGGGAACACCACGTTCATCAATGCATGCCATTTTGGCTGCAGAGATTACTACTGAGTTTTTTCTTTTGTGAAATTATATTCTTTCTCTCACCAGTACCCACTTCTCTGTCACAGTTTCACTTTCCATGCTAGCAAGAAGCATGTATAATCCTTGTTTTAGATGGCAACTTCAAACATTTAAAGGTCCTTCACCCACCGTATTTTCAAAACACTGACTTGCCAAGGTTCTTTCTACCTAATATAATAAGGCCCTCCTAATATGTGGTGTCTAGAACAAAGTACAAAATTTCAACTATCTTATGATTAGAGATGGAATTTAGCAGTTCTGGTCTTCAGCCCAAAACAGCATTAGCTGACCATCAACTAAAACCCCCAGGAACTTTTCACGTTGACTGCTTCCAAGCTGGGTCTCCTCCCAGGAGTTCTTAATGCACCTCATTTTTGAACATAAAAGAAACTTTTACTTTTACCCCTTATCAATTTCAACTGTCACCATAATCTTGGTCTTGTCCAAGACCATAGGCCATAATCTTGGTCTTGTCCTACCAGGAGACCCACCCCGGGCCTGTGCCATCCATCTGACAAGAATAGCTTCTACATCTTTAAATCATTGGCAAAGTTACTGAGGAGAGTAGCATCAAGGATGAAGCAATACTCAACCTCATCATTATAATAATTAACATTGATTTAGGTCTTAACAAAGTGCTTTCACTTATAGAGTGATATTTAATTTGGTTCTCAACAACGAGATGGATGACAGCTAACATGTACTGAGCATTTACTTGATGGCAGTTCTTATATGTCTTATGAGTTTTACCTTACTTAATTCTCCCAACAATCCTATGAGGAAGGTAATGTTTTGACCCTTGTTTAGAAAGGATAAAAAACAAGGTTAAAGAAGTTAAGTCATAGGCCGGGCACGGTGGCTCACGCCTGTAATCCCAGCATTTTGGGAGGCCGAGATGGGTGGATCACCTGAGGTCAGGAGTTCGAGACCAGCCTGGCCAACATGGTGAAACCCCATCTCTACTAAAAAATACAAAAATTAGTCGGGCATGGTGGCAGGCACCTGTAATCCCAGCTACTCAGGAGGCTCAGGCAGGAGAATTGCTTGAACCTGGGAGGCAGAGGTTCCAGTGAGCCAAGATCGCGCCATTGCACTCCAGCCCGGGTGACAGAGAAAGACTTCATCTCAAAAAAAAAAAAGGAAGTTAAGTCACTTTCCCGTACAAAGTTCCAGGAGCAAATGAAATGGCTGGGATTTGAACTTCTCTACATGCCACTCTGAAATGTGTGTCTTTACCTAATATGCCAGCACTGAAAGGTGCAGAGAGTGGATTTGCCCAAATCACAAGCTTTGTAAGTTGTTTCTCCAAGATTCCAACTCACATTATACTCTTAGACTCCCTCTCCCTTTGGACTAACAAGAACAACCCAACAAACGATGTTCAGCCAGGTGCAGTAGAGCATCCTGAAACAAACCCCATCAACGCCCTCTCACGCTCCCTGTGTGGTTCACAGAGCAATCGAGAAAGCCTTGGGGAAATGAATGAGTACGATCCTTCTTCCTTCAGGCATCACCCTGCCCATCAGCCCAGCCACCTACCCAACTGTCCATACGAAGTTTTCTAAGAGAACCAAATCATTTCAAAAGATCTTGAAGTCATCTGATATATAACTGAAAGTGCTCGACTCTAAAGAAATCTGAACACAGGCAATGGTATCTGTAATAGTTCATCCTCGCACTGCTATAAAGAAATACCGGAGACTGGGTGATTTATAAAGAAAAGATGTTTAATTGGCTCATGGTTTCACAGGCTGGATAGGAAGCATGATGCTGGCACCTGCTTGGCTTCTGGAGAGGCCACAGGAAACTTTCAATCACAGCAGAAGGCAAAAGGGGAGCAGGCATCTCATATGGCGGGAGCAGGGGGAAGAGAGAGAGGGAGGAGAGATACCACACTTTTAAACAACCAGATCTCACGATAACTCACTCATGATCACGAGAACAGCACCGATGGGATGGTGCTCACACAAGCATGAGAACCCCACCCCCACAATCCAGTCAACACTGGGGATTACAATTTGACATGAGATTTGGTGGGGACACACAGCCAAACCCTCTCTGTATCTATGAAAAGTAGAGAGATCTGGCCGTGCACAGTGGCTCACACCTGTAATCCCAGCACTTTGGGATGCCAAGGTGGGAGGATCACCTGAGGTCAGGAGTTTGAGACCAGCCTGGCCAACATGAAGAAACCCCATCTCTACTAAAAATACAAAAATTAGCTGAGCGTGGTGGTGCCTGCCTGTAAGCTCAGCTACTTGGGAGGCTGAGACAGGAGAATCGCTTGAACCCAGGAGGCAGATGTTGCAGTGAGCTGAGATTGAGATCATGCCACTGCACTCCAGCCTGGGCAACAGAGTGAGACTCTGTCTCAAAAAAAAAAAAAAAAGGAAAGAAAGAAAGAGAGAGAGAGAGGGAGAGAGAGAGAGAGAGAGAAAGCAAGCAAGCAAGCAAGCAAGCAAGCAAGAAAGAAAAGTAGAGAGATTTACGTAGATTAGAGGGACAGACCACCGCCATGGCACTTTTGTGCTGGGAGCGAGCATGCCAAAGATGGCTCTCCACACCTGGGTAAGAGTTCAAAGCCTTTGTGACCAGGGATACTCCTTGGCCTTATGTTTGTCAGCTCCTCTTTTCTTCTTCAACTTGACTAGAGGAGGAAAATGCTTACGTCATTGTATTGTAATTGCTGGTCTAGGTCCTCCTGGTAAGACATTAAGTTGGAATATCCTAACAGCTACCTTCTTTATGGGGCTTGATGCCACTGCAGGAACAGATGGGCAAGGAGAACCCAGGAGTTACTGTGGAAATTGGATGCCCAGCTTAAAGTAATTGGGAGCAGTATGGCAGGAGCCATCGGAACTCAAATGAATCCAGAAGTTGGTGTTAGCATAATCAGCAACAAGCCAAGAACTGGGGAGTTCCTGCAGAGCCTGGAGGAAAGCCTTTGTATAACAGCTTGGTTTTTAACAGCATTCCTTTCCCTTGAAAACAATGTCATCCTTCACCTAATAAATCAGGTCTCAACAATTCAAGGAAGAAATATACCATAAGTGTTGTAGTAATGACAATCTAGGAATTCCTGCATAAATAATTCATGTATTAGATCCCTAGTAGGTTAAAAAAAAAAGTTCCAAGTATAGCAAAAAAAAATTATTACATACATCATTTTTAAATATAGAAATTTGTTTTTGTTTTGGGTTTGTTGTTGTTGTTTTTGAGATGGAGTTTTGCTCTTTCGCCCAGGCTGGAGTGAAGTGGCGCCATCTTGGCTCACTGCAACCTCTGCCCTCCGGAGTTCAAGTGATTCTCCTGCCTCGCCTCCTGAGTAGCTGGGACTGCAGGTGTGTGCTACCATGCCTGGCTAATTTTTGTATTTTTAGTAGAGACAGGGTTTCACCATGTTGGCCAGACTGGTCTTGAACTCCTGAACTCAGGTGATCCACCTACCTCGGCCTCCCAAAGTGCTGGGGTTGCAGGCATGAGCCACTGTGCCCGGCCAGAAATTTGTATTTTTATGATTATATTGCCCATGTTTTTTTTTTTCCAGTATGAATGTAATCACTTAACTGACAAGGCAACTAAAATACAAAATGTATAAATAAAACAATTTCTATTAAGAAAAGGAAGGAAGGGAGGGATAGGAAGAAGGAGAGTGAATTATGTCTTAGAAATCAGTATGCCAAAACTGGTTTTGATTTTTGAGACTCTTTTTAAAAAGTATTGTGAGAATTCTGAAAACTCTTAGCCCCCTTTTCTTTCATGTTTTTCTTCTAGTCGCCTCGTTCCTGAGAAATGTCATCACAGTAGGTTATCAGCCAATGGTAAATCGTGACCTCTTCATCTCCAAGGGTCTGTGTTCTATTTTCCATTGCCTTAATTCCTCTTCATCATTCAATGTATCAGCCATCCTTTTCCTGGTTAATGTACTGTTTTCTTTCATGGTCCCCTAGTCTCTTAGTAGTCAAGATTCACTGTCAAAAATTCCTTGTTATGCCAGGTGTGGTGGCTTACGCCTGTAATCCCAACACTTCAGGAGGCCAAGGTGGGAGGATCACTTGAGGCCGAGTTCAAGACCAGCCTGGGCAACATAGTGAGACCCCACCTCTACAAAAAATTTTAAAAATTAGCCAGGTGTGGTGGTGCATGCCTTTAGTCCCACCTACTCAGGAGGCTGAGGCAGGAAGATCACTTGAGCCCAGGAATTCATGCAGTGAGCTATGATGGCACCACCACACTTCAGCCTACGTGGCAGAGGAAGACCCTATCTCTAAAAAAATTAATTAAAATATAATAAATTCAGATGTCCTTCTCGGTCTCTGTTATCTTCTCTGCTCCTCTGTGAACATTACTTAAATTCCATTATAATTTATACTAACAGTTTAAGCAGCTCCACTCCGGAGAATAAAATTTGGAGTTCTTCTCACACTACAAAGACCTATGTGACCTGGCCTTCTGTCCTCGGCCCGATCACTTTCCCCTTGTTGACAATGCTCCAGTACCCTGGCCCTTCATGGTGTTCTCTAAATGAAGCAGACTTGTCCTCTTCCTAGGGCCATGACTCTCCCTTCCTGGAGGACCTTCCTTCAGCTTTTTGCATGGCTGCCTCCATTCATTTAGCCCTCTAAACAGGTGTCCCCTCCCAGGAGAGGCCTGCTTAGACCATGCCTTCCCCAACCACTGCACGATCTCACCCTGTAAGCCAGCCCTGCTTTCTTCATCACTTACCACTAACTGGAATTACATTATTCAATTGCCTTGCTTATTTTCTGCCTTTCCCCTCTCTCCACCCCATTTCATGGGAGAATCTCATTGGTTTTAGTCATAGAAGTTTTGTAGGTATTCAGTAAATATGTGTTTAATGACGGGAGGGAAGAAAAAGAGGAAGGAAGGTAGGGGGAGGTGGGAAGGGAGGGAGGCAAGGAGCAGGGCAGGAAATTCCATTCATTCATTCACTGAACATTAATGGGAAATTCCTAGTGCCAGACTTCATGCTGGAGGCAGGGTATGCCCAAAGCAATGAGCATGGTGCCTCTCTATTCGCGAGCCTCCATAGGCGCTTTTTCTGAATGAATGGAAAAGAAGGCACAACCCCTACCTCCTACATGAATACACATATTATCATATCAGTAGTCAATATTTAATATTATTCAACTAATTTCTCCTTGTAGTTGTTTGCAAGTCTAAAATAGATCTTAGTTTACCTAAGCGACCATCAAAATGTGAATAAGATGGTCTACAAAATGGTGAAGGCTTAGAACATGGGCTAAAATCCTTTTTCTGGCTTTTCAAGCTTTACCCAAACTAACCTTTCCAAACCCATCTCATTACCTTCCCAACACACACTCTTAGTTCTAGAAAATTCCTTTGCCATCCCACAGGCCCCAGACTGTCTTCCTTGCCTTGGCTCACACAGATGGGCGAAGGGGCAGTATAGGAAGGAGACAGTAGTGTGATCTGAACCAGGCAAGTGCTGGGAGTCCCAGCCCCTTCACTGAGCAGTTGTTACTGAGCAAGCCCACTTCATGGGTCTATGCCTCAATGTCTTCTCCTGTAAAAAGGGTTGAGGGATAGGACTTCACTCAGAATTGCTTTTGGATTAAACATGATCCATATACAGTCCTGGGCACAGTGTTTATCAGGCAATGGTTCATAAGCATTAGTCATTCTTACCTCATCGCCCCTCAACCAGGACACCCATCTTTCCCCGTCTCACTCCGTGGCACCTATTCACTAAACTCACTTGCCCCTAACCTCCATGAAGACGAGCTACACCTCCCCTAAACTCTTACTCAGACACTGATGTGCATTGTTACTAATATGAGCTCTCCTTAATTAAACTGTGAGCTTCCTGAGGGGAAAAATCAGGTCCTGCTAGCACAAAGCAAGTTCTTGAAAAATCCTTGATTAAAGAGTGTATGATAGAGCTAAAAAATTGGAATGCACAATTCATTCTGCTCTGGTGCTTTAAATTAATATTAAATATGTCTGTAACATATAAATCCTAGACTTTCACATTTAATCAAAGTCTTAATCATAATGAGCAGCATTTATGAAAGGGCAATTAACAGATTCCCAAAAGAACTGGAAATAGTAAATTGCTAATAGCATCCCTAAGGTTTTGCTTTTTGCTCTGATAAATTAAGTAATTTAATAATAGAGGCAGTGTGAACCAAAAAGAACGCAGGCTTAAAAGGCAGAGGACCTGCATTCTGATCCTTGCTCTGCCAGCCTGTGACTCAGCACCAGTGACTTATCTGCTCCGAGCCTCTGTTAACTCACCTCTTATGTGAGAAGCTGTATTCACACCACTGCTTGTCAGAACACGTTCCTAAAATCCTTATGGTTCTATGCATGAAATCTGACTTCAAATTTCATTTTTAAATATATCATAGACTATTTAGAAACAAAAACAACATATACATACTCTTAGCAGAAACTGAAAATTCATTATTTTGTGCAGCCTTGAGCTAAAGTTTCTGTTTAATAAAGTGCATTACAAAATTGTAAAATGAGGTGTTTAAAAAAAACACATAACTGTTTGCCACACTTATCTGGGTATATCAGTGTTTGCTTGATCTAGGCAACGTAATGAAATATAGAAAGAACGAAATAATACATGATTACATGTGTCTTTCACAAAACTAAATTTCAAAAGTTTGTGTTCACCAAAAATAAGCTTAATTTATTAAAAATAAATAGTTTATCTGTTTCTAAAAAATGGGTTTCTGGACAATATTTTCTTTGCTAAAAAGTAAACATCTCTTCTACATAATCTTAAGGGACCTTAGAACTTTCACAGTCCATAAAATTATAGTCTTAAAGCCTAATAGAATCTTACAGTTTAAGATAAATAAACTTATATGTTTAAAATTCTCATTAGATTCATCAGTGTTTCCATCTTTAACTGATTTTCCTATACTTTAAGAGCTAAAATAATTCCATGAAATTTCAATATAAAGCAATATATATATAATATATAAAGCCTTATATATTATTGTTCTAAGTCTCCAGATTATCCCAGTTCAGTCTAAAATATTCTGTTTTTCTCAGGATACCTCTCTCTACTTGAATTTTCTTCATTCTCTCAAGTGAATCTGTCCAAAAAAATTTTGATTTCTAACTAATTCATCACAAGTAGAAGCTTCTCTCTTATACATATTGCATCTAAATTTTAGAAACATCTTCGTATTCCTCTAAACTTTGACCCCCTCCTATATAAATTAGAGTGGTTTGGGAGGGGATGAAAACTAGCCTATGGACTTTAAAATAAATATAGTTTACTATGATAATATTTTCATTTCTAACTCCAGTTGTTACCATTGATTAGAAAATCAGCCCTGTCTGAGTGTTCACATTGTCCATTATAGAACACAGGCAAGAGCAAGGTGAATTAGGAAGAGGGAAACAGGACACAGGTTTTATTTCAAAAGAGCCAATGGGGACATTACAGGAATCATTTGATGGAGATGCCTATTCAGTTTTTTATCACACCACACACTAGTATAACCAGGAAATGCAAGGCACTCTCTGCCTACTCTGCCTAGCCTACCAAATTAAATCTAATTTATTTCATAAAAAGACCTAAGGCATATAGTCATCTGAATGACTGGCTCGGTACACAATGAATTCCCCAGAATATTAATAGGTTTGTTATAGCCTGAATGTTGATTTACTGAAAGTGTCATTCCAGCCTATGCATATTGATTCTCAAAAGCTAATATGTGACCAAAATGCTTGGTCTGTCAAAGCTGTCACATGAGCTGATCTGACTGGTTCCTTTGCCACTGATGCTAGTCCGACCTGATTTTTGCCTCAAAGAAGCAGGGGGAAGCCGGCGGCAGCAAAGGCAGGTGGTTAGGAGCAGACACCTTTGAGGGGCAGGTGGTTAGGAGCAGACACCTTTGAGAGGCAGGTGGTTAGGAGCAGACACCTTTGAGTCAGAGCAGTGGTGCTCAGTTGCCAGCGATTTTGTCCCCAGGGGATATTTGGTCATGTCTGGAGATAGTTTTGGTCATCACAACAGGGGGATGCTTCTAGCATCTAGCGGGTAGAGGCAGGGATGGTGCCAAACACCATGCAGTGCCCACAACGGGCCCGTGAGAATGGCCTGGTCTCAAACTTCAGTAGTGCTGAGATTGAACACCCTGAGTCAGACTCCCTGCGTTTAGTTCTGATGCCGTCCGTACCCACAGCTTGCTTTGGGAAACCTTCCTAAGCTTCCCAAGTGTCAACTGTCTCATCTTTAAAAAGAGTGAATCCCATGTCCTATTTCACAGGGCAAAGATGGTTGTAAAAATGAAACTAATCGATGCTTACTAAGCACTTGGGACGCTCCCTAACACGTAACGTACCCAGTGCATCTTAGTTATTGTTAGTAAAGGAAATAATGATACAAATAGCAGCAACAAGAAAGGCTTTCTTCAGGCTGGATGGCCCATCTAGAGGTTTCCAGTGCGTCTCAGCATTCCAAGAGGACTTTGGTTCAAAAGCCAGTTATAGGAGTTCAGAAAATGGCCATGTGCAAAACCCAGAAATTTTCTTTAAGCTGAAACCCTGCCAGGCAGGGTCTTTTTTTAAAATTTTCTTCAACTTTTCATTTTAAGTTCAGGGGTACATGTGCAGGATGTGCAGGTTTGTTATATAGGTAAACGTGTGCCATGGTGTTTTGCTGCACAGATCAACCCATCACCTAGGTATTAAGCCCAGCATCCATTAGGTATTCTTCCTGATGCTCTCCCTCCCCACAACCCCCCAGCAGGCCCCAGTGTGTGTTGTTCCCCCATGTGTCCATGTGTGCTCATCATTCAGCTCCCACTTATAAGTGAGAACAGGCAGTGTTTGGTTTTCTGTTCCTGCATTAGTTTGCTGAGGATAACGGTTTCCAGCTTCATCCATGTCCCTGCAAAGGATATGGTCTTGTTCCTTTTTATGGTTGCATAGTATTCCATGATATATATGGACCACATTTTCTTTATCCAGTCTATCAATGATGGGCATCTGGGTTGATTCCAAGTCTTTGCTATTGTGAACAGTGCTCCTGCCAGGATCTCACTATGCCACTCCCATGCCTTAAGAAATAAGTAGAAGAGGTCACAGTGAGTAATAGCCTATTTGAGCTACCAATGTGCTCTCTATTGGGGATGAGGGGCATTAATGTAGATGTCACCTTTAGGGATGTGACATGTGAGGTAAGGATAGAATTGTAGCTTATTGAAGTTTAGTGAATTCTGTGGAGGATCCATGAGTTTATACGCTGGGAATTAATGCAAGTCCATATTCTATGAGCTATGACCCCTTTCCTGACCTTATAGATGAGGCCTGAAAGTTCATGAAGGCAAGCATCCTGGGGCTAATTAGCACTTACGCATGACAAGCCTTTCAACCACGCTCAATCTTTATCATGGATTTTCAGGGGGAAGCCGACATGGAGCACTGTGAAACATTTTTATAACTATTAACCAGTGCTTTGGAGTTGGCCTGAAATACAAAGCCAATTCAGTCAATTAATGCATAGCTATGAAAATAGTTATCTCTATTTCACCTAACTCTAAGCATCTCTGGCGAAGTCTCATTAACAATGCATGTTTTTTTTTTTTTTTTTGAAACACAATTGTTAGTTGTCACGAGCCGGAAAGAACATTTATCTGCAGAACACATAGAGAGAAATTGCTGAGAAGTCCCTTGCATCTTCTCCCTAGCATACTTTTACAAAACCAAATTCACTCTCAAACTTAAAAAGAAGCCGAGGGAGAAGGAAGAATTCTGTACTGCCAGACTTCGTGATTAAATTTAGTGAAGATGCTGAGAATGTCTGTGGAAATTCTCAAAAAGCTATGAAACATTAAATATGCCACAGTTACTAAAGTCTAAGCTAAAATACTTAAAGTGCTTATGAAAGTCATATTGTAAGTCTATTATAAGATGGCCTTTTGTTTTAATACCAAAAAGTTGTGCAAGTCCTCTAGGAAACCCTTGTAAAAATTCAATTAACCTTTGTGCAGAAAAAAACAAGACCCAGAAACAATGCCAGAATTGGGGTCATTAACCACGTGCTGGCCTCATGGTGGAGAACAGCCACGTACTCAGTTGAATGCTCTGAAAGTCAGGCTAGCTTGCAGGGAATTAGCCGTAACATAGAAAGCATTCTTCATGCTTCCCTGCCCAGCTAATGTGCATTGTACTTTGTTCCCATTTTGTTTTCTAAAACATTCCAAATTATGTAGAGAAAGTATGTATTTAAAAGCCAGTTCTCAAACTAACTAGCTAATCTATGGCGGCTTTCTCCCTTAAAGAACTTAGTCATATTATTTCATGCATCTCTTCATATTCATATTGATGACAATGTTTTCTTGACCTAAGAGTAGGGACAAGGACAACTTTTTATATAAGCTTCCTGAGGGAGATTGTTTTGATCCTAACAGAACCTAACACTGCACGCTGGCATGCTGACAAATATTCTTCACACAGTCAATAGGTCATGAGAACCTGGTTAGTAAATGTTTGCCACACAGTTCCTAAAGCATTAATATTGGAGCCATAAAACTTTAAATGTATCATTTGTTGTGAAATCTACTTGAGTAACATGCTTTAAATTATTCTTGTTTTTATGTTATCTATTTGAATATACAGTTTTCAAAAATTGATAAATTTTGTTAACAATTTTACTTGAGATTGTTTCTTTGAAAGCCACCTACATTTTTCATTTTAAGTGACTGCTGAATTCATCATTGATACAGTATGATGTTGTTGCAGTCTCCCCCACCCCCCGCAAAATGAACATATTTATGGACCAGTGTGGCACTAATGTTCTAAAGTGACTCCAACAAACTCAATCCTTGTTTCTTTTGGCTTCCCCCCTCCCTCCCTTCCTTCCTTCTTTACTTCCTTTCTTCCTTCCTTCTTTGAAAAATTGCCCAAACTAAGTTTATATGAAGAGAAGAAAATGACAGAGGAATTGTGCCAATTCACTAATGTGTTCTAGGGCACAATCAGTAAGAACAATAATAAAGTGCTCAAACAGAGTGATAGGATTTCATCTTGAAACTCAGGATTTAATGACAGCTGCCTTTTAAAATTACCAGATTCACTACCTACCCTCTTTGTGCGGCAAAGGTTCTTTTTTTCCTTGTTTGTTTTTGTTTTTTTGTTTGTTTGTTTTGTTTTTTTGTTTTTTGAGATGGAGTCTTGCTCTGTCGCCAGGTTCTAGTGCAGTGGTGCGACCTCAGCTCACTGCAACCTCCACCTCCCAGGTTCAAACAATCCTCCTGCCTCAGCCTCCGGAGTAGCTGGGACTACAGGCACACGCCACCATGCCCAGCTAATTTTTTGTATTTTTAGTAGAGATGGGGTTTCACCATGTTGGCCAGGATGGTCTCAATCTCTTGACCTCATCATCCGCCTGCCTCTGCCTCCCAAAGTTCTGGGATTACAGGAGTGAGCCAACGCGCCCAGCCAAAGGTTCTTTTTATTACTTTTCCTGATGCCTTCTGCCCCCTGTACTGGGTACAGAGGTAGGATATGTTGGGTGGGAGAGTTGATAGGAATTCTTTAGGAAAAACCAATGTGATTTTAATTGGTAGAGCCCTTTCTAAAAAAATCTTGATACGGTTTGAATAGCTTTTAAGGAATATGTAGAAAACAGTTCTATGGTGGCATGTAATATTTTCAGTTCAAAACACTGCCCTTGACTGGAATATGCCAATGTTCTTTGTGGCATCTGAAGTCAGGGGCAGTGCCTGCCCACTTCCACGTGCTGCTGCCTGGAGCCCGCGTCTCGTGCTTCCCTCAGGAACCCCCTCTTCGTGGCTGTGAAGCGCTTTTCTCCTTGCCCGGTTACCATGGAGAAAGCTGCACCATCAGCTTTCCTTTCCAGTTACCAATGGGTTGTTAGCACACTGCTTATGAAAATGGTTTCTCTAATGCTAATTAGTTATAGCAATGAAATTAAAAGCGGTGCCTGCTTTTCTTTATTGATACTTTCAGCATGTGCTGAGGCAGGTATTTCAGATAAGGCCTGAAATTACTAATTATACTTTCTGGCAAGAGAAAACATTCACTTAGCATGTAATGGGTTAGACGTTAACTCTTTCTTACCTTCCATTGAAGGTTCCAGTTAGGTGATTTCCTACAAAGGAGACGATATTTCCTGAGTCTTGTCTGCTTCCTGTAATAGTGTACTTGGCTCCTTGTGCCCCAAAGCCCAGAACCAGGAATGCACAAAAGACCCATCATCGCAGTGTTATTAATACCAATGGAATCAAACTCTCGCTTCTGGCATTTTGTGAGTCTGCTATTTTAAGCAAGCTGTTTAAGCTCTCAATTTTCTCATATGTGAAATAAGAGAATTAAGATTCTTTTCCAGGATTGTTGTGATGGTGGAATAGGAAAATAGGGCCAGCTTGGAGTGTGCGACCTGTACAGTCACACAGGGCCCCATACTCACAGGGCCCCATACTCACAGGGCCCCATACTCACAGGGCCCCCCAGAGTTTGAGGCTCTACTGCTAATATCTTGAAATGCTAAATCATTTTTGAAGAAGGGGCTCTGTGTCTTTGTTTTGCACTGGGCTTCACAAATTATATAGTCATGATCAGATAGGAAACGCTGCAGTGATAATAAATACTCCAAAATCTCAGTGGCTTCACCCAACAAAAGTTCATTTCTCGCTCATGCTATGGCCTGCACACGGCTGAAGGCTGCCCTCCTCATCAAGGCCGAGGCTGACAGAGGCTCACCTTCACCTGGGCTTCCATGATCCCGCACCAGAGGGAAGGGAGCAAGGAATTGTGTGCTGGCCCTTAAAGCTCTCACCTGGATGACACTTGTCACTGGTGCTCACAACTCTTTGTCTAGAGCAAATCGTGTGGCCTGGTCTAACTTCAAAGGAGATGGGAAGTGCATTTCCACCTTGCACCTGGAAAGCAGAGGCTAGGGAAGTTGGAGACCAGCCCCACACTGTCACAATACAGGGAGGGGGTGCCCCAGTGACCCCGGCTTTGTGCAAGCCACCCTTCAGAGGGCTACATTGTAAGATTCCAGTTTTCTCCTAAAACAAAGCCAAGCCAAATTGCTCAAAAGTAAAATCACTTACCTTTTAAAAGAAGCCCTTAATTTTCTTATTTTCCAAGAAGTTCAAGATTCCCTTGACTGTCGTCTTCCCCGGGGACAGAGCATATGCTCAGAAAGTTAATGTTGCAGCGTCAGGATTAAATCCTTTCCAGCCAAACTGAGACACTGAAACCAGCATTGCTGGTTCCCTCATTACACTTCCTCAAGATGGAAGTGGCATTGCTGCTTGCGTTCTGATTATAAAATATAAATGTATTATTATAACACATTCAAGCAAAATGAAAAAGTAGAAAGTTAACATAAAAAGCAAAAACCAGTAAGATCAGGAATCTCACTACTTATTATTACTTATCTTTCTAGGCATTTTAGGATACATACCCACACTTGAAACTTTTTAAACTATTAGTATTATTATACATGTGAATGCGTAGATAGTGTTTTATGAACTGCTCTATTATGGGCATGTACGTACTAAATATAGTGATAATGATGCTATTTTTCAAATGTCATCATTGTGCGAAGTAATCACCTACCACACAACAATCATACGGCATACAGAACGATTTAGTTCCCTGTCCTCAGGCCTCAGTTACAGGTTCTAGAGGCAGCCACTTAGCGTTGTTATTCCAGAAATTTTCTGCACATCTATAAGCAAATATATCTTTTTTCTTTCATCCAAATTGTTACACTCTATGTATAAATTGTTTTCATTGTTCTATAGTATTTCATTTTATGAAATATCATTATTTGTTTAATGAATTACATATTTATATGATGACTATAGCTGCATCATTGCATTAGTATATCCACATAAAACTTATTTACTTGTTTATTTGATACATCATTTTTGTTTTGTTTTTGCCACAAAGTCTCACTCTGTCACTCAGGCTGGGAGTACAGTGGCACAATCAGAGCTCACTGAAGCCTCAACCTCCGAGGCTCACGTGATCGTCCCACCTCAGCCTCCTGAGTAGCTGGGACTACAGCACCCGCCAGCAGGCTAGGCTAATTTATTGTATTTTTTTCTAAAGACAAGGCTTTGCCATGTTGCCCAGGCTGGCCTCAAACCCCTGGACTCACATGATCCACCCACCTCAGCCTCCCAAAGTGGTGGGATTACAGGTGTGAGCCACTGCACCTGGCTGGCCACATCATTCAGAATTTTTTGAAGAAGCCACATAACAGCTATTTTGAGAGTTAAATGAAATAATCCTTTGGAAAGTATTTTGTAGATCAATTATCACATGTGTAACTATACTGATGGTAAACAGTAATTATTTTACTGTATGTCCTATCTACTTGTGTTATTTTATTAATAAGTGCAATAATATAATTCTGCATCTACAATGTGTAAATCTCACATTCCCGTGGAAATCATACTGTAAAGAGAGGCATAATACATGTGAAAAAGAGACACATAATTGTGGAACTATAGCATGAGAAGTGGTGGGAGCCACACTACTCAGTTTGCCCGAGGCAAGCTGCTTTATGCCCGTTGTTCAGGAGTAGCTGCTACTATGTTCCCTTTCACTCTCAAATTTGTTCAGATGAACAATAAATCATATTGTCATTTGATTTATGAGTAAATCAACCAGGCCCCAAATCTTGAAAGAGACATCCTTAATCTGCCTGTGTATATTGTCATTTTATTGTCCTCAGAATAGCTAAAATGGAACACATTGCAACTGCTCCTTGTTAAATTAGTTCACTGTGATACAGCTCAGGTACAACCGTTCATTTGCACTTTACACAAATCTGTTGATTTAAAGCCACTTTTCATGCCGCTCTTTCCTGCTTCGGAGACTGGTCGCCATCTTGTCCCTCTCTATTCCATCCTGCCAGGCTGATTATCTTCCCCTCCAGATAATACTGGGAAGCAAGGAAGGCCTGCATGAGCCGTCTTCAATATATTTGCTACCATTATCAGGATAGTTACATTTGTAATGCTTATGCATTCTAATAACATGATGTATCTATTTAATTTTCCTAATTTCCCATTTGTGATACAGAAAACTAAAAATTATTTCTAAAAAGTATTCTGAAAACAACTTATCCTTTCACACTTCCAATGATTATCCACCAAACAAAGTTAATTTTCTTCTATGCTGCAACTGAATTAAGAAAGGCCATCTTCATCACCTTGATTCATTAACCTTATCCTAAGGAAAAGTACCAGTATTTTTTTTTTTTTTTTTTGAGATGGAGTTTCATTCTTGTTGCTGGAGTGCAATGGTGTGATCTCGGCTCACCACAACCTCTGCCTCCTGAGTTCAAGCGATTCTCCTGCCTCAGCCTCCGAGTAGCTGGGATTATAGGCATGTGCCACCACGCCTGGATAATTTTGTATTTTTAGTAGAGACGGGGTTTCTCCGTGTTGGTCAGGCTGGTCTCGAACTCCCGACCTCAGGTGATCCGCCCGCCTGGGCCTCCCAAAGTGCTGGGATTACAGGCGTGAGCCACCGCGCCTGGCCAAGTCCCATTATTTTTTTCCATCACCAATACAAGCTGCTGATCGCCTGCAAGAAGAGTCACTTCATGTTTTTAATACTTTTAAAGCCAAATATCTTTTCAAAATGCTGGGTAGGAAACTACACAGGAACAGCATTCTCTGATAATTAACCACACTGGTGAGTTAAGTGCTGTTGGCTTTTCCTCAGGATACCTCACTCTCCAACATCATCCAAGTTAATTAGCTGACATCATGCGCACTTCCGTGCCTGCCTTACTGCCTCATTAGAACTGCATGCACTGGTTTGTGTCCAAGCCATTTCACCTCAGCTCGCCCACCAGTTTTTCTGTTAGCAGCTCCTGTATGCTGGCTCTCGGTTTCCATTGCCTTCCTTTTCATGCTGGATAACGTCTTCACAGAGGATGCGAGACAGCAAAGCACAGTCTCATTTCGTTGTAATGACGGAATGTCCCAGTCAGAGCCAAAGAGTGTAGAAATTCCACACTAATTCCAGCACATCTCCAGTGTTCTCAGAAATCGATCACTGTGTGACTAAACCGCCAGTGTCAAAGAAACAAATCGGTGGGTCTTCTGCCTCCCGGCTGCCCTGACTTCCTGACAACTGTTCTTTTCCTGGGAGCCATTTTTAATGGCCTTTTTAATCACCATCATCAACAGTGGGGAACTCTCAATAACATCTTAAGCTTTAAAATGTTTTTGAAAGTGAGTTGGAGACGCATAAATATTTAGATTTTCTCAAGGAAAAGTGTCTTAAGTGTCTGAGTTCTAAATTTGAGCCAAGTTTTCTTTGAAAATGTATCCCAATTACAGTTGTAAATAGTAATCCCACAAACAAAAGCTTCGGGGGGAAGTTACTAAAAACAGTTGAATTCCCTAAATGTTGATTTCCCCACACATCAGAAGCAGCAGCTTTTTTTAGGATGTAATTATTTTCCTGATATACATTCTCACACTCCTGGGAAAGAGTTTTAGCCATTTTGTACTAGAGATCCATTTGGCAGTTTGATGAACAGTTTGGACACTATCTTGAATAATTTTTTTTTTTTTCCTGAGACAGAGTCTCACTCTGTCGCCCAGGTTGGAGTACAGTGGCGCGATCTCGGCTCACTGCAAGCTCCGCCTCCCGGGTCCACACCATTCTCCGGCCTCAGCCTCCTGAGTAGCTGGGACTACAGGCGCCCGCCACCACGCCCGGCTAATTTTTTTGTATTTTTAGTAGAGACAGGCTTTCACCGTGTTAACCAGGATGGTCTCCATCTCCTGACCTCGTGATCCGCCCACCTTGGCCTCCCAAAATGCTGGGATTACAGGCGTGAGCCACCGCGACCAGCCTATCTTGAATAATATTTTTAAATATATAAAATATATAAGATTGAAAGGAAAATGCAGTTATCAGAGTAATAAAAAGAAATTCATGGTTTTTAATATGTGTTTCTTTATGAATGAATTAAATAACAAGTCAGGCCAGGAACAGTGGCCCTTGCCTGTAATCCCAGCACTTTGGGAGACCGAGGCGAGCAGATTCCTTGAGCTCAGGAGTTCAAGACCAGCCTCGGCAACATGGCAAAACCCTGTCTCTACAAAAAATACAAAAATGCCTCAGCTACCCAAAAGGCTGAGGTGGGAGGATCACTTGAGCCCAGGAGGTCAAGACTGCGGCAAGTTGTATTGCACCGCGGCACTCCAGCCTGGGCCACAGAGCGAGACCTCGTCTCAAAAATATATGTAAATAAAAATAACAAGTCAATACCGTGCATTTAAAATATAGCAAGTTAAAGTAAAACTTTATTGTTTAAAGAAATACCAGTGCAAAGAACATTTTTGCTGAGTTTACCTGGGAACAATAAACCATGCATGAGAATGAGTACCCTCCTTCCTCGTGATGACCAAAAACAAATCGCAAATGGGAATACTGGAAAGCAACGTGAATGTCTGGGTCACCAGTGTGGGAAGAGGTGACTGCATTCCCCCAAGTTGGCAGCTCCATCACACCAGTTGATAGGACAGCAGCGATCACATGCAATCTACTATAAGTATAGGTAATAGTGGGTCAGGCATGGTGGCTTATGCCTGCAATCCCAGCGCTTTGAGAGGCAGGCAGATCATGAGGTCAAGAGATCGAGACCATCCTGGCCAACATGGTGAAACCCTGTCTCTACTAAAAATTAGCTGGGCATGGTGGTGCATGCCTGTAGTCCCAGCTACTTGGGAGGCTGAGGCAGGAGAATCACTTGAACCCAGGAGGCGGAGGTTGCAGTGAGCCGAGATTGCGCCACTGCACTCCAGTCTGGTGACAGAGAGACTTCATCTCAAAAAATAAAAATAAGTAATAGTGGGCCGGGCGTGGTGGCTCACACCTGTAATCTCAGCACTTTGGGAGTCTGAGGCAGGTGGATTACGAGGTCAGGAGATCGAGACCATCCTGGCCAACATGGTGAAACCCAGTATCTACTAAAAATTAAAACCAAAAAAAAGTTAGCCAGGCATGATGGCGAGTGCCTGTAGTCCCAGCTACTCGGGAGGCTGAGGCAGGAGAATGGCGTGAACCCACGAGGCGGAGCTTGCAGTGAGCCGAGATCACACCACTGCACTCCAGCCTGGGCAACAGAGCGAGACTCCATTGCCGAAAAAAAAAAAAAGTAATGGTGAACATAGTTGGTATTTCAAGGTGTCTACAGCTGCTCTAAAATCATACGAAGATATCTGTGATTCTCATCTATGACTAAGTCACAGATACCACTAACACTACTGATAT
This sequence comes from Homo sapiens, assembly GCF_000001405.40. NCBI lineage: Eukaryota > Metazoa > Chordata > Mammalia > Primates > Hominidae > Homo > Homo sapiens. Next base: position 161,474,481 of record NC_000006.12, on the reverse strand, counting down.
TCATACCTATGTTTATAACTGAAGGAAACACCAAACTTCAGGTAGGGATTAGTGATATTAAATATATAATTAATTCCCATCCAAGTTCACAAGCTCCACGGACTCCTGTTACCAGTCTCAATCTTATAGGAAACAAGAGGCTTGGTCTATGGTTGGAGCAGGAAAGACAAGATGAAGGAGAATAACTATGGGGTAGCCAACAAGGTAAGAGTTATGAAGAGCCATTACACACCAGGCCCTGTGCTGGGCACTTCCGTGGAGTAGCCAATTCATTCCTCACATGACTGCACCATTTACTTGTACATGGTACTAGTAAACAGTGGCGCCATAATACAAATCCATGCCACCACAGGAGAGGTGGAGTGACTTACTGGTAAGTTTGGAAAGAGTAAACTGATCATGCTCCACGCCCATTTTTTTCTTGGTAGCAGATGCTCTGCAGAGAACTTATATTCTGCTCTGTTTTTCGAGGAAGTCTGGCTCTGCCTAAGCTTGGGTGGATAGATTTCCACAAGCATAAAATTTGATATTAGAAAACCCGCTAGTCTACATACACAAGTCATGCCCTCCATCCTAGCGATCTTGTATATAAAAATGCCACTCCACCTGCTCTCCTTTCTTATTTACTTATTTTTCTATTATATATAGTTAAGGTGTACAACATATTTTGATATATTTATACATAGTGAAGTGGTTACTATACTCAAGCAAATTAACATACTTATCATCTTCATGGTTACTTTTTTCATACGTATACAGTAATAGCACCTAAAATCTACTTTTTTGCAAATTTTCATTATACAATATTATAATTATAGTCCTCTAGTACATTTCTAGAATATTTGTCCTACCTGTAACTTTGTATGCTTTGACCCATATCTCCCCATTTTCTGCCACAATTCCCCCCACCACTTCCGGTAACCACCATTTTATTCTGTCTCTATATATTTGACATTTTTTTTTTAAGATTCCACATGTAAGTAAGATCATGCAGTACTTTTTCCTGTGTCTGGCTCAGTTCACTTAGCATAATGTCCTCCAGGTTAATACATGTTGCCAAAAATAGTAGAATCTCCTTTTTAAGGCTTGATAATATTCCATTTTATATATATATATGTATATAAATAAATTTATGGATATATAGGTATCTATATATATAATGCTCCCCTCTCCCTAATATATATGTATATAATATATTCCACAATTTCTTTATCCATTCATCCTTTGATGCTTACTTAGGTTGTTTGCATATCTTGCTATTGTAAATAATGCCACAGTGAACATAAGAAGGCAGCTCTGTGAGGTGCTAATTTTACTTCTTTTGAGTATATACTCAGCAGAGAGATTGCTGGATCATATGGTGCTATAGTTCTATTTTTTTATTTTTTAAGGAACCTTCGTACTGTTTTCCATAAAGGCTGCAACAATTTACATTCCCACCAACAGCATGTCAGGGTTCCCTTTTCTCCAACCCGTGCTACCGCTTGTTATGTCTTTTTGATAATGGCCATCCTAACAGGTATAAGTTGCTATCTCATGGTTTTCATTTGCCTGTCCCTGATGGTCAGAGATGTTGATTACCTTTTCGTATGCCTGTTGGCCATTTTTATATCTTTTTTGGAGAAATGTCTATTCAGGCTCTTTGTCCGTTTTTTAATCAGGTTATTTGGGGTTTTTTGCTATTGAGTTGTAGGCATTTATTTTACATTTTGGATATTAACCACTTATCAAATACATGGTTTTCAAATATTTTCTTCCAATCTGTAAGCTGCCTTTTGATTCTGTTCGTTGCTTCCTTTGCTGTGCAGAAGCTTTTTAGTTTGGTGTAGTCCAGTTGTTTATTTTCACTTTTGTTGCCTGAGCTTTGGTGTGGTATCCAAAAAGTTATTGCCAAGGCGATGGGGTTTCCCTGTGTTTTCTACTAGGAATGTTATGATTTCAGGTCCTATGTTAAGTTCTTTCATCTATGTTGAGTTGATTTTTGTGTATGATACAAGCTAAGGGTTCAATTCATTATTTTACATGTGGATATCCAGTTTTCCCAATACCATTTATTGAAGATATTATCCTATCCAGATACCATTGTGTCTTCTTGGTGCCTTTGTCAAAAATTAGTTGACCCATTTTTCTTTTCAAGCTGAGACAGGGATAGTAGGTGTCATGGATTGGGTTTCCTTAAACTCCCAACACGTTCTGCAAGTAAGACTTGCTCTCTTCTAAAGGCATCCATTCTATTTTCAAACAGTTCTGATTTTTACAACGTTTTTCTTTATATCTAGCTAAAATCAACCTCCCTCTGTTGTCCTGGGGTACTTGGAAGCCTTAGTCCTTCTGTGAAGGGCTTATCCTTCAGTCATTAAAGCAGGCCATGAAGAAGATTACCAACTCTACAAAACACCCTGGTCCAAACATGCATGTGTCCTTCCTTCTTAACATGGTCAAAATACTAGATTAGGTTTTTCAAAAATTTTTCAAATGAGAGAGAACTTCTTCTTCATAGGCTTCAGTATTTTTTTTTAATGTCTCCCAAAGTTGGTATTGAAATTAAACAGATTCCAGGTGAGGTCTTGCCACCACATAGCAAAAGAAAACTATCCACACCTTCAGTTTATGCTGTATTTTTCTATTAGTGTTACCTTAGATTAATTTAATCTTTCATAGATGCATTTATTGTATGTTAATTATCTTTATGACACATGTTCTGTTAAGCTATAACTCCCACAGCCAATATAGCTGTTACATATATTCTAGTACTGGGATTTAAACTCTTCTCTAAAAGTCGGTTCTGTAATCTTGTTAGATTACCCAGTGATGTCAGACGGTGGGGGGATGTTTTTGAATCCTGATTCTGTTTCCGATAGACCATCCAATTCAAGAGCATATAGAAATTAGGTCATCATTCTGTCAAGGTCTATTTTCAAGTTGTTAATGAAAGTGCCTAAGAGGATACATTCTTCATTACCCAATCCATATTTCTCCATTTCTTTCTTTTTCATGTCTTGAAGATTTGTTGTTTTGATTTGGTTTGGTTTAGTTTGGTTTTTCATCCTAGTCTAATGCTGACATTATACTGGGAACTTATTGAATATTCATAAGTTTGAATTCATAAACAAATATTTTCTTATTATAAAGCTGCTTACGTAGGTGTATATCTGTAAGTGAAATAAAACAACATCCCCATAACCCCAAAACTCAGACATTGCAGACTCTGCTAATGTTTGGCTATATTTCTTTCTAGGCTTTTTGAAAGAGCATTTTTCTAATGTACATTTTTCACTCTATTCATTACCTGGCCTTTCTCTGTCTCTCCCTCTATTGAGAGGGAGTGGTTAGTCCAGTCCTAACATTTGCAGGACCTGGGATAAGAAGACAAGTGTGGGTTCACATGGCCCTCATCTCAATGTTTAAAAATTCTAAATCACACTAGCAAGCTGTTAAATAAAATACATGCTATCCTCTTACCTTAAGGAGTACACCTTCATAAGGACCTTAGAGGCCAGATTCTAACTTAGAATTCTCTGACCCCTCAGAATTCTTTACCAGAACTTAGTGGAACTGGGAGAGTCAGCCCAGACCCCTTCTCTTGTCTAGCTCTGCCCTGCCTAGAAGGTTCTCTGCACACACATAGGCAGACACCCAGCCCACAAATCTCAGATTCATCCACATCCCCTACATGTGGCAGCCCTTCAGGCAGCCTTCGGGCTCAGGGTAGGCACATCACTGGAACAGTCCACTCTCAGAAGGACAGATGGGAGGAAGCTGCCTACACAAGCCCTGAATCAAGCCCAGGCCATTTGGGCAGGGAATTCTGGGGCTCAGGTGCCTGGGGCATAGTCTGAAGGGCAAGCATGTGCTGTTGTGGGTGCAGCTTTTTAGCTCCACAGACTCTTTGCTCCAGGAAGAGGGGTGTGGCCAGAGGAGGGCCAGGGCAGAACCCTCTAAGACATAGGACATCTCTTGAGTGGGTCAAAGGGTTAGACTGGGAGTGCTTCTCAGGTAATCCAGAGTGTCCTGCTCTCAGGAAGTTCTGATCCGTTGAGAATTACTCTTGAGTGTTCATAATGGGAGTTCCTTCTACCTAGAGGAAAACCTCAGGTCTTCCACCACTCCCAGCTCCAGCAGAAGAGTGATGAGCACTGGGTAGAGCCGTTGAAGAGGGGAATGAAGATTTAGATGAGTGACTACATTAAATAATACCCTAATGGGCCTATGACAGCAAAGGTAGTAATATAACTAAAGCATATAATCAAACACAAAAATTATGTGGCATAGACTGTACACCATTATTTTAGTGTAGGTTACAAGGCTCAGACTGTCTAGGTTTAGACCCTAGCCAGAGTTCACTTCCTAGCTATGCAATTTTGAGCAAATTAACTTCTCTGTGGCTCACTTTCCTCTTCTATTAAATGGGTGTTTTTTAAGAGTGCCTACCTTGGTGAATTGAAGGAAACTATGTATGTTGGATGTTCAGCCTAGCAATGCCCGGTTCATAGTAAGCACTTTGCAAGCATTAGCTAATTTTTAAGCGGAACAATTATTATTACCACTATTATTAATGCTATGCTATAGCTTCTATGAGAAAATGCAGGCTAGTGGTCCTCTACCTCTCACAGTTCAGTAATATGTGTATTAGTTTCCAGTGGTTGCTGTAAAAAATTATCACAAATGTCATGGCTGAAAACAACACAGATTTATTTTCTTACAGCTCTGTAGGTCGGAAGTCCTAAAGTTAAGGTGTCGCAGGGCTGCATTCCTTCTGGAGGCTGTGGGGGAGAATCCTCTTTTCTCCCTTTTCTGGCTTCTTGAGGCTGCCTGGATTCCTTGGCTTGAGGTCCCTTCCTCCATCTTCAAAACCAGCAAAGTAACCTTCAGGTTTCAATCTCTCTCTCTTTCTCTTTCTCTCTCTCTTTCTCTCTCTCTCTCTCTCTCTCTCTTTCTCTTGTTCACTGGACCCACCTGGATAGTCCAGAATTATCTCCCCACCTCAAGACCCTTAACCTACTCATTTCTGCAAACTCCCGTTGCGATGTATTAGTCTGTTCTCACACTGCTATGAAGAAATACCTGAAACTGAGTAATTTATAAAGAAAAGAGGTTTAATTGACTCACAGTTCTGTATGGCTAGGGAGGCCTCAGGAAACTTACATCATGGCGGAAGGCACCTCTTCACAGGGTGGCAGGAGAGAGAATGGGTGCCCAGTGAAGGGGGAAGCCTCTTATAAAAAAAGTCAGATCTTCTGAGAACTCACTCACTATCACAAGAACAGCCTGGGGGATACCACCCCCATGATTCATTTATCTCCACCTGGTCCCATCCTTGACATGGTGGATTATTACAATTCAAGGTGACATTTGGATGGGGACACAGAACCAAACCATGAATGCTACCATATTCATAAGTTCCAGGGATGAGTACACAGACATGGGGGAGGTGGCAGTATTGACTCTTTGGCAGCATTTTGGTGGGGAGTCATTAGGAGATGCATGAAGGAATTTTACTTGGCCTGTAGGGAGCGCCCATTTGTGTACTGCTGGGTTTTAAAGTAGGAGGAAGTTGCCTTGGTTGTAGTCAGCATTATCAGTTAACCAGGTTGGTGTTGAGTATGTCTTATGGGAAGGACTGACAGGTGTATAGGCTGACAGTGAGCATGAGGGCCTTCAACTGTGGCCACAAGGACAACTTCACAAATGAATGAACATACACTGTGCATGACTTTCCTGTCCTTGAGAAGAACATACCCAAGTCCTCTGAGGCTGGATCCTCCCGGCAGCTGCATTAGTGGTAAATAGCAGAGTAATTCCCCGGCCATGGATGCAAGGACAGGAGATGGTAACTTAGACTGTGGTGACACCTTCACTTAAATCTGAGCCTTCCTGAAATATGAGTATTTGAAATAATAGCAGACGACATTGGGCAGATTTCAGTAAAGGATGAATGCATTTTTAAGTTTCTAAACATGTTAATAAGCACATGTCAATAAATGGGGAGTGAGGCAAAAATGGAGTCAGGCTGAAGTACCCCCTTGCCATTTAAAGGATACTCTGTAGGATTTGACATTTATTATGGTTGACTTTTCAAGGCTGAGTATTTTCCCAGACCCACTGCCTCTTCTCTCTTCCTGTCTACACCTGGCGTAGTACACTATTTCAGATTGAAGATTAGGTTTGGCTGTTTTTTTTTTGTTTTTGTTTTAAAGTATAGGGTAAGAGGCTGGGCATGGCGGCTCATGCCTGTAATCCTAGCACGTTGGGAGGTTGAGGCGGGCGGATCACCTGAGGTCAGGAGTTCAAGACCAGCCTGGCCAACATGGCGAAACCCCGTCTCTACTAAAAATACAAAAATTAGCTAGGTGTGGTGGTGCGTGCCTATAATCCCAGCTACTCAGGAGGCTGAGGCAGGAAAATTGCTTGAACCCGGAAGGCAGAGGTTGCAGTGAGCTGAGATCACACCACTTCACTCCAGCCTGGTTGAAAGAGTGAAACTCTGTCTCAATAAAACTAAAAATAAAAATAAAGTGTAGGCTAAGGGAGTGAGAAGGAATAGAATTTTACTCTTTCTCACATGAAAAAAAAAAGCTGGAAGTATGCAACTGACGGACAGTGTGGGACCTCCATGGTCACAAGGGAGCCATGGCCATTCCTCCTGAGAATGTAGCTCCCTGGAATCCCCAGGAAACCCTCTACTCACAGCTCACTGATCAGCCCTAATGCAAGCAAGGCTGGAAAAGTAGAATTTTGCTGGGCACATAGTTGGTGTTCTGTTACTGAGGAAGAAGAGGAACATGAATATTGGGCAGGCATTTGCAGCCTCTGTCGCTCCTGCACATCCTTTGAGACTCCTCTCAAGCGTCATCATCTCCAGGAAGCCTTCCCTGTATCCTCCTTTTAGGCTCAGCACCTCTCAACCTGCATTCCCATAGCAATCTGCATGTTTCTCTGTTATACAACAGTAAAGCATTGTATTAAAATTGTATCTAGGTCTTCCCCATTGGACCATATGCTTACAGAGAAATGCCCATCTTACTCGTCATTACACTCTTAAATGCCCAGCACATACAAGAACTTGGTAAGTGTGTGCTGGACTGAACTTATCAGTTAATAACGTATATACTCCATAGGGCTAGAATCGTGTTCGTATTATATGTGTCTATATCAAATTCACCGCACAGTGCCAGGCACACAGTCCACTCTCAATAATATTTACTGATGAATGGGTGAATGAATGAATGAATGAGTGAATTATACTTAAGACAGAAGGGTGTAGATGGAAGAAGTCTCTCTCAAAATGCCACTTTCCCAGTACATTGAAAAAAACAACTATTCGTCAGCACAAATGGCTCCCCCAGCAGCAGGACACTGATGAGCAGTAATGAGAGAGGCTTTTTAATCCAGAGGCAACAGTGAGAAGAAAATGAAATCAGTGGCAAACAATCCTGGTTTCTGGGATGTAGAACATTCTGCAGAGAGAAGTTGGCTTGTATATAAGGACGCGAATCTAGACAGGAACCTCTTGATGAGATTTCATTCCTTTGCCCTGAAAAGAATATTTTATTTCTGCCACCAGAAACAAAAGAATAAAAATCCCTCATTAACTAACTTCGTGTGACTGTCCCAGAAAGGAAAAAGCTTGTATGCCCATCTGAGAACCATAGTCTTGCCAAGAGAACCCTGAGATTCCACTCTTTTTGGGCTCTACTTGACAGCTTTGAAATAAATCTATCAATCACTTGTCAGAAAGCCTGTCCTTGGGTTGTTTGTATGTCTGTGTGTCTGTGTGTGGATGTTTGCCCTAGCAGTATGGCTGCATATTTATTTAAGGTTAGGCCCTCCTGTTACTTTGAGTGCAGTCCTTACCAGAGAGGATGGCAAATCTCAGAGATGTACTGGCTTATCTTTTAATATGCAAACTGTACCTTCATCCTAACATCCACAGTGTCTGAGTTAGTTGAGCAAGCAGAATTGTTTAAGCTTCTGCCTAAACAGATCAGAGCAGATGAGTGCAAAAATAGAAACTAGTTGACTGGAGGAGAAATGATAAAACTATTTTCTAGATTTCTACCGTAACAAAAAGAACAAGCCAAACAGCTTACATAGTTTCAGAGATTTTTTAACCCATCAGAGAGCTGAGATCAAAAAAAACCTAAGTGAAGAAAATTACTAAAAGTAATAAGACTTTCCTGGAAGAGAATGTTATCAGAATTGACTAAATCATTCAACAGGTTAACAGAAGACTGAGCAGAAGAGGTAAGTATCAATGATCTTGAAGAGCGGTCAATATAAACTGTTCAAATAGAAACACAGGGGGATCTAATGTACAGCATGGTGACTAGAGTTAATAATGTTGTATTGTGTACTTGAAATGTGCTAAGACTAGGTCTTAAGTGTCCTCCCCACACAGACACACACACACACACACACAAAGATAACTATGTGTGGTGATAGAAGTGTTGATTAATTTGATTGTAATTATTACATAGTGTATACAGATATCAAGTCATTATTTTGTATGTGTTGAATATATGATTATTATTTATCAATTATACCTAATAAAGCTGGAGAGAAAGGAAACACAAAGTGAAAAAAAGTAATAAACATAGACCAGAGTATCCAAGATCTGGTGAATATCAAACACTGTGTAATTGGAATCCAAGAAGAAAAAGAAAGAGAATGGGCCAGAAGAAATATTTGAAAAGATAATGGTGAAAACTTTTCCAAAACTGATGGAAAACATCAAATTAAATACCCAAAAAGCACAGTGAATCTTAAGCAGTAGCGGTACAAAGAAAACAATGTGTTAAAACAAATTGCAGTCAAAATGCTGAAAACACAAGATAAGGAGATAATGTTAAGAGCTGCCAGAGGGAACCTCATTGTATGGAGAGCACGGTGATAAGAGTGAGGGCTGACTTCTCCATCAAAAACAATGGAAGCCAGAAAACAATGGAATGATATGGAAAGAAAAAAGTATACTAAAATTCCATGTCTAGTAAAAAAAAAAAAATCCCCAAAAGAAAGGCCCCCAAAAATAACATTTTCAGATGACAAAAGCTGACAGAATCCATCAGACTTGTACTGCATGAAATACTAAAATCACGTCTGCAGGTTGAAAGGATATGAAGTGAAGCCCAGATCTGTACGAAGGAATGAGGAACATCAGAACGTATAAAAATGTAGGTCAGCTCCAAGATGATTTTTTAAAATCCCAATGTTAAGAAGTCATCATTATTACCAAAAGAAGCAAGCCAGAAAGCATGTCGCCTTTCAAAAAGAACTAGAGCAGTAAGCAAACACTGAGGCAGAAAGGCCTAAAGCAGGTCCTGCATGGGCCAGTCTCGACGGTATGAAAGAAGACTCACCGTCTAGACTGCTGTCTCTGTCGCTGCGACTTTTTGCATACTCCAAGCTGCAAGAGTCAGTGATTGAAGGGCTTTCTAACCTCTGCAGCTCACCTGGAGAGGATCGCAGCCTATCGCTTTTGTTGACCACAAGGACCTGAGCTCTGCAGAAGCAGTTGTCACCTCCTTGAAGAGCTAAGGCTTCCAAGGAGATATTTTGTGGGTCGAACTGGCTAAGCAAAGGGGAGCAAGTGACCCAGCAAGCAACAGGTGGGGAAGCCAAGGTGGAGGAACTTGTGTATTGCCTGATGGTTTTACCTGACATTTGACTAATTCGTTTCACTGGGGATTCATAAGAGACCTTAGGGGCCTGTATGTCAGAATTTGAGGTGTGACTTACTTTGGAGCCCTTCAAGGCATTATTTAATTATTTGGTAATTCATTTTTCTATTTGTCTGCTAATGAACATGAGTTTACACTTTCTGAGAAATTACCAATACCAAGACTGTAGTTACACAAAGAAGTTCAATGATTTCCTTAGGCTAGGTGGGCATAGGATGGTGTTGACTGCAGATGGGCGTGAGAAAACCTTTTTCAGAACATGGAAAGGTTATAAAATACATCCTGATTGTAGTGGTGCATATATTGCCAAAACTCATCAAAGTATACAATTAAAACTGACATATTTCATATTATATAAATGATATATAGATGAAGTTTCTTTAAAAAAGAAAATCTGAGATTCAAAGTTTCCAGGAATGAAATGTGACTTCCATAGGAATTGGCCAACTCCATCAGTTTTCCCAATCCAATCCCTGGCTTGAGAAAGTACCAGCTGGGCATGGTGGCCCACGCCTGTAATTCCAGCACTTTGGGAGGCTGAGGTAGGCAGATTACCTGAGGTCGGGAGTATAAGACCAGCCTGACCAACATGGAGAAACCCTGTCTCTACTAAAAATACAAAATTAGCTGGACGTGGTGGTACATGCCTGTAATCCCAGCTACTAAGGAGGCTGAGACAGGAGAATCTCTTGAACCCAGGAGGCGGATGTTGTGGTAAGCCAAGATTGCACCATTGCACTCCAGCCTGGGCAACAAGAGCAAAACTCTGAGCCAAGATCACACCATTGCACTTCAGCCTGGGCAACAAGAGCGAAACTCCTTCTCAAAAAAACAAAAACAAAAACAAAAACAAAAAAAACCCTAAAGGTCTCTGTATGTTGATGTCTACCATCCTAGCTCTATGGAGTACAGTATCTTAAATATAAGTGAATAATACTATAATATTGTGGGATAGTTGCAGGGCTTGGATTTAGGTGCTTCCAAAATTTGGATGGAAATGTTGGAAAAGTGATCACTAGATAAAGATTATACTTCCAAAGTGGACACTTGATCTTTACCACTGTGTATGCAGTTCTGATGTTGCTTTAGCTGGGGCTGAGTTTCAGCCAAGTCTTTCCAGCTTATAGTACATTGAATTTCTCATTCATGCTGAATCAAAACTTTGGCCTTTACCTGTAAAGTTTCAGTCCATGGGAACCAAGAAATGGGAATACTCCATATCTGGATATCAAGATGGTCAAAGAAAGCATCTGGTAGGTATAGTGTAGGTTGATGTAAAGATCCCTCCAACCTTGGTAGTTGATGCCCTCAGAAAAGTGCTGCCAGATCCCAAATGCATCCTGTCCAAAATCAAGGAGGGGCAGGATGATATGGCCAATTTCAGGATTTTTAATGTCTTCTTAGACTCAGTTGACCTCTGGAAAACATGATTCAAGAGCCAGTTAGGCAGGATCAGTAAGGATAAGCCAGGTAGAACCAAACAGTCGTCATTCTGAAAGCTGGGAAAGTTTTGGCATCCTTGGTAACAAGGGAGGAGGGGTCAGGAGAGGCACCAGCTGACAGTGAAGCTGACCTGGCAGTCACCTTCCAGAGGCCGTGCTGAATCTGGATGCCTCAGGAATTCTACTGGTGCCCCATGCCACCTTCTTCAATAATATATCACTGACCACTCCAGCCAGAAGGGCTCACACTGACCTTGGAACCCCTTGGTGCTCAGTCACCCATAATTCTCATTAGGTAGTTTTTTCTCTATTTAGTATTTATGTAAGTATTTATCTCTCTGACTTTCCTGTTGCTTCCAGTACATTGCAGTCTACTATACATAGAACTTCTGACATCTTCATGCCCCTATAGCCTACTGTAGTGCCTTGTTAATACTAAGTGCTCTACCAAACAAAAAAACTGAGTGAAGAAATCCTGAGGAAATAGAAAATATTATTGGCCTCAGACCTATTAAGCCAGTTTAGAACAAAAAAATCATGGATTATTTAAAGTATGCCAATTTTGGGATGAAAGTGTATTCTGTGTGTTTTTATTGCTACCGTTCTCCAGAGAAACAGGGTGATATTTTCCAGCTACAGAATGTTTTAGCAGCAATTCCCAACGAATTCAGCTTATTTTTCAGCAAGTTAACCTCTGTTAATGACATATTAAATTTTGATTTTTTTAATATGATCACCCTGGGGAGACATTCAAAGTAGACCTTTTAAAATAAGGGTGAGCTATATTGCTGATCAGACATCATGGTGTCATTTCACTTCAGAGAATATTTTTCCAGAAAGACACACATTTTAATGACTGGTCAAACATACTAACCATCTTATCTTTGCTTTGGGCCATATAACTAATTTAGCTAGTCATTAGCTTCAAGGTAATGGAAGAGCACGTTCTACAGTATTAACTGAATACCAAATCAGCTCCTAAAATACCTCTCCCTGTGGTATTTCGACTGAAAAATGCCAGCTTATGCCAGCTTATAAACCACAGATAGCTGGAAGTTCAGGTGATTCAGAATAAAAGCATGCTGTCTAGATAACATTGTTAGATGTAAATGATTCAGGCTCACTTTTGATCTGATCTCTCTAGATGGACTAGACTTTGGTCATATTGGAAGACAGTAGAGGCTAATATTGTGCAAAGATGAAAAGGATGAGACAAAGCATGTGTAGGTCCCTACCGTAGTGAGTCCCCGCTCATTGCAGGTGGCGGCATTTGGCACTGTTGACTGTTCCCTCCCCTGCTAGCTTGTGGGTGCCCTTCTCACCCACCTTTCCAGCCATCTTCCCCCACCATTGCCATCCTTCACAGCCCACATTGCAAGCTAGTCTTCCACCTGCCCTTTAACCGCTGTTATTTTCAAGGTGACCATCCTTGGTCCTCTCTTCAAGCCAAGCCCTCCCTCAGACCTTCTCGTGTATTTCTGCAGTTCTGACTGCCTATAGTTGATAGGCCCCAAGTCTGTGTCTCTAACTAGACCATTCTCTAGAGCTCCTGGATTATACTTCACATTGCCTACTGGATACCTCCATTTGGAATTTTCATAAGCATTTCAAATGTAAAATGTCAATATTTGAGCTCATTTTTCCACCTCTTCCCTCACCCACATGCAACCCTGTCCTGTCTCTTCTTACCTCGGTCCTTGCAATGAGTGGCACTTAGAATCCTCCGTGCATGTATTCCAGACCCTTTTATCTCCAGTGGCTGACTGATAACTGATTGATTCCAGAAGGCCAGTGATTCCTGCATCCACCTCCTCTTTCCTATTAACTCAGGGTCCCCACTCTTTACCTCAACTACTGGAACAACCTACACTCTTCCTGCCTTGAGTGTATTCCCCCTAGTAATCCATCCTTTATCCCCATACCATAAAATATGCTCATAACACCCCCCATAAAGTGATTCCCTAGAGCTTAAAAACCTCAGCTCCTTAAGACCATCTACTTTGTTTTCTGGACCCTCTGGCCTCATCTTCCACCTACCCTCCCTCTCCACCATCCCCCTCATCTCCAGCGACACCTTATACTTAACTCATGTTGAACCATTTCCGGGTCCGGAACTCACTGAGTACTTTTCAGACCTCCAGACCTTTGCACAGGCCGCTGCTTCCTCTGAGCCACTGGCTAGCAAAACTCTTTCTCTGTCCCTGAGGACAAACTTGACGTTCAGTTCTGTTTTCTGAAAAACTGATGCAGGTGGAATGTTTATGGGGTTAATAGACAGTAAGTACTTATGATAAAGATGACTCTTGGACCGGGCATGGTGGCTCACACCTGTAGTCCCAGTACTTTGGGAAGCCAAGGCAGGCAGATCATGAGGTCAGGTGATCAAGACCATCCTGGCCAACATGGTGAAACCCCGTCTCTGCTAAAAAAAAAAAAGAAAGAAAAATTAGCTGGGCGTGGTGGTGCGTACCTGTAGTCCCAGCTACTTGGGAGGCCGAGGCAGGAGAATTGCTTGAACCAGGGAGTCTGAGATTGCAGTGGGCCGAGATTGTGACACTGCACTCCAGCCTGGCGACAGAACGAGACTCCATCTGAAGAAAAAAAAAAAAAAGATAACTCTTGGTTGGTGTGTGGGATCTTGACAGGCAGGACTGTAAATGAACTATAAATACCTGGGAGAAGCCACAGCTGTGGACATCCCTGGAAGTCATGCTCACGGCGATGAAGTTGTGTCTTCTTCAGCTTGGCCTTGTGCCCCCGGAACTCCTGCCAGCACATGTGGCACCTGGGGCTTCTACCCCAGCATTGCTCCTTACCTACCAGCATGTCTCCTTCCCCAAACCCAAGTGATCACGGGGGTTCAGAGAAGTGTCCCCTGGCCCTTCCTGCTGATATGCTGCTTCTTGTCCTGTGTCCTTCTAAATGACTCCAATGCCAAGTATAGCCCATTATATTCCAGAGATCCTAAATGGATATTTGGGCCTGAGACTATCCAGAGGGAGTATGGCACCTCCTTTGCCCATTATTCCCAAGCAATATCTAACCCACTTTTCAAGATCTTGGTCAAAGGCACTCTCCTCTGTAAACACACGGTGCCCATCAACAAGAATTAAATAAAATAATCTTTTGTTGCAACCTCTGTGACATCCTAAAATAACACGGATTATATTCCTATTATAAACTTTGGTTGTATTACCACCAAAATCTGTCCTCTAAGCAGATGACTTATTGAGGGTAGGATCAATTGCTGTTTATATTTGTTCGTACTATTCCTGCACCATGCCTGCTTCACCCTGTGGGGACACATTAAAAGTTGAATGGTTGGATGAATGGATGGATGGATGGACTGATGGATGGATAGTTGAATTAAAGGAAAGAAGCATATGTGATTTGATGGATAAATAGATTTTTTTTTTTACAAAATATCAACAGCCATTTTCTTATCTAAATAAAATAATGTAAGCAGCACCAAGAAACCAACTTTCAATATAATAGTTTCTGCTGACCCATTTCTGGGCCAGAAATCTCCCATTAGGGGTAAGTCATTGAAAGCCTCTAAATTATGAAGAAGGAGACAAAGAGAAAACCAAATAACTGAACTGTTATAATTATAGCAAATGTTATGGTGGCACCAGTTAGCTAGTTTCCTAGGACCCTGGACAAATCTACATATAAGTGGAAACCTCTAAACAGCGATGAGAAAAACGGGAAAATAGCTTGCTTGTGAGGGAGTTCTAGGGCTGACAGCAGGATGGATCTCAGAGAAGCTGGGGCATCAGGAAGGCCTGCTACCCTGTGTGCCAGAAGCTCTAGGCATTCCTGTGAACAGATCCAGGGATTCAGGGAATTCCATCCTTCCCACTACTTTGCTCAGAACCAGGTCCCTGCACTCCACACTAAGAAATGGTGGCTCCATTTGTAAACAGGCCTCTGATTTATTTCAACATGTGCACAGCTTGGACTTTCTCAAAAGTAAACTAAAACCAAATGAATTACTTAATTCACACCATATTCTGGAATTAATAGTCACTTCAAGGGCATTTCTGAGAATGTTCTCATTCTTAAGAGAGAGACCACAGCATTTCCTTTAGGTTGCAGACTGGCAGGAAGAGAAGCCCACAAACACACTGACTGTCAAGTTCGATCAGGTTTCCACTGTAATTAACCTGGAGAACAAGTCTTACCTGAAAAATGGTGATCACTGAGGGCAGGTGCTAAGTACCACTTCTGAAAGTAGCTTCTTTTGGCTACTGGGCCACTAACAAGGCCCTGGCTGTCAGCAGACACTCTCTGAGGAAGGAAGTGCTTGTAGCTTTAGAAAGCTCAGCCTTGCCTTAAAATCCCTCCTGGATACTATCATGGTTTTCATTCCTGTCTTCCCTCCAGATAAGATGAAGGGATTTGAGGCTGTCCAAATAAAGATATGCACTTTAAAAAGAAAAAAAAAAACATGAAAATGGCTTCTGGTAATTATAAGGTTTAGACCAAGGATACTAGCAAGTCATAGTGACCATATGCTCTTCACTTTCCTAAAAATTTACGAATTTCTGGCAAAGTCAGTATTTCTCCATTGACAAGCTTGCCTACCCACAGCCTAACACATGCAGACTACAGAATTCCACAGACATGGAGTTACTGTCATGGTGAGCACGAAGCTAATAAATTTAGTGCCCATTGCTCTGTAGAAGAAAACAAACATATATTTTAAACACAAACTTTGAGCTTAATGGCTGAAATGTTTTTGTACCTTGGAAATGCTCCTTTGCTATTAAATCAAGGGTAATCATAGTTCATTTAAATGTAGGAAGGAAATAATTGATGTTTTCACATTACTGAGCATTTGGTTCAAACACTGGCTCTGCAGTAAACAGCATGCAGACATTTTAGGAGACAGGCAGCCGGCAGGAGGTAGACAGACGGCTGCCTCCACCGCGGCGAGGGCCAGGGAGCTGTGATAACGGCTTCCAGGTTTGCATCAGCTGCACTTATGGTCGATCACACCAGGCACCCGAGATGCTGGATGAAAGTGCTTCACAATTCCCCCTACTTAATAATTAAAATTTCAATCATATTCTCCAATAATGATCATGATTAAAGAATGACAACACGTTTCTGAAATCTGTAAGTGGCAGCAGAGACACCAGGCCTTCTTTAGCTCGATAAGCAGCTGCACTAAGATTTATTTATGTTCTGTCAAACCCAAAGGTTTTCTTAAAGGAGGCTACCCTTTTTCTTTCAAGCTAAAGGAATCTGAATGTACAAAGAGCTGTATTTCTCTTTTTCTTCTTATAAGTATTCCCATAACAGCTAGGATATTCTATTTTTCTTTCCAGAGTTTTGAGCAGCCCAAGTAAATCAGAAGGCGGTCATTGTCTGCATGACAGTTCAGCTTGTGTCCCATAAAAGCCCACAACCCTTGAAACACCAAATCACCTTTTCTGCAGGTCTTTTGATTATTGGCGTCCTTTTCCCAAAAAACTACAAAGGAAAGACAAAAGAAGGCCACTATTTCTTTAACTTACATGTGCGGTCATCTACAAAATGTTGGACTTCTTATCACACATGTTTTCATATTAAGAGTGTGGTAACACACACACAGGAAGTTGGTGGTTCCCATTCTCCCTATTTTCAGAACCAGTCTCTTCTCTAGAGACACGTTTGTACCTAACAGTAGATTTTCATATTCCTTGATTTTGCTTTCTGACCTTCTTGGAGTTTTCAGTAATGTATCTTCAGCCCTCAGATCACAGAGCATTCATTAATTCATTCATGCATCCATTCATCCTCCCATCCATCTATCCACACATTCAGCAGTCATGTCTTATCATTGTTCTAGGCACTGTACATAAATATAAACATGAATTTTGAGTTATTTATATGACATCCATGTATCCTTTCAGAATACAGTTGTATCATTGTAGGGCAATTAGAAGAGGTAATTTCTATTAAAGTAGTAGCTTTTTTATTTGATGTTTTCAGTAGAAATTACTAGAGTTCTCTATTCAGTAGGGATGCATTCAGAGTTAGTGTCAATATATTGTGTAAGTGGAGGAATCTTGAATAGTTGGATCCTGCATTGGCCCAGCTGCCCATCCTCCTTGCAAAGTGCTTAACAGAGACACATGTGTAGGAAAAGTAATGGAATGCATTATTATTAGCCTTGGCTTTATTACAAAATCTCATGGGTTTAACTTTGGTAAAACTGGGTGTACCGAGTGGAGAACTCCTGGACTCCAAAGAACCAAGCGGTCTGGAAGAGAGCCTTGCGTAGCGAAGACGCTCAGTGGATATTTGTTAAAGGAGGAAGTTGGACTATTCAGCCTTGCTCTCACACCGCCCTTCCACGCCCAAACCCAGGTCCTGAACTCAGCTCTCTGGTAGGACCACAGTGGAGGCAAAGGCTCTGAGAGGGCAAGTGTTTGGCTTCAAAGTCCAAGTACCACTCCAGGCCTCTTCCAGCTGCCACACTACCTCTGTTTGCCTAGGAGAAAAGGTTCCCTGAGCAATGAGACCATCTCTTCTCCTGAGGAAGCCCTGAGCTCTCTGGGCATGTGGGTGGAAGAGGAAGAGGAAGGGTCATGTGCATGTACCCCAGACCCTTTCACCCTCTGACCACCCATACAAAGCAGACCCAGGTCAGCATTCGCAAACCCAAAGAGCAGCTTTCTTTTGGTACAGTTCAGTGCCCTGTCCTTGATCCTCTTTATTCTTGGGCAGGATTCAAGCTGGTGATGTGGGAGATTATTAGTCAGGGTTCTCTAGAGGGACAGAACTAATTGGATAGATGAATATATGAAGGGGCATTTATTAAGGAGAATTGACTCACACGATCACAAGGAGAAGTCCCACAATAGACTGTCTGCAAGCTGAGGAGCAAGGAAGCCGGTCTGACTCCCAAAACCTCAAAAGTAGGGAAGCCGACAGTGCAGCCTTCAGTCTGTGGCCAAAGGCCTGAGAGCCCCTGGCAAACCACTGGTGTAGGTCCAAGAGTCCAAAAGCTGAAGAACTTGGAGTCTGATGTTCCAGGGCAGGAAGCTTTCAATGCGAGAGAAATTTGAAAGCCGGAAGACTCAGCCAGTCTAGGCCTTCCACACCCTTCTGCCTGCTTTTATCTTAGCTGCACTGGCAGCCGATTCAATTTCGCCCATCCTGACTGAGGGTGGGTCTGCCTCTCCCAGTCCCACTGACTCAAATGTTAATCTCCTTTGGCAACACCCTCACAGACACACCCAGGAACAATACTTTGCGTCCTTCAATCCAATCAAGTTGACACTCAATATTAACCATCACAACACAGGAGCCCTTTGCTTCCCCTAGAGGCCAACGTTCTCCTTAGGAAAACATTTTTTCATAGTGATTTTGAACTGGAAGAAACTATAAACACACATGGCCAGCCTTGAAATTCTTTTCAATATTTGTTTCTCTATAATATGTTGATATGAGTTAAAGTATGTGTATATGTATTTATTTGTATGCACCTAATTTTTTTTTTTTTTTTTTTGAGACGGAGTCTTGCTGTGTCGCCAGGCTGGAGTGCAGTGGCGCGATCTCAGCTCACCACAACCTCCGCCTCCCGGGTTCGAGAGATTCCCTTGCCTCAGCCTCCCAAGTAGCTGGGATTACAGACATGTGCCACCATACCTGGCTAATTTTTTGTATTTAGTAGAGATGGGGTTTCACCATGTTGGCCAAGATGGTCTCGGTCTCCTGACCTTGTGATCTGCCCGCGTCAGCCTCCCAAAGTGCTGGGATTACAGGCGTGAGCCCCTGCACCTGGCCTGCACCTAATATTTCTGTAACTTCATGGCACCAGGGACCGGATGTGATTTCCTCCACTAGAATAGCCTACACTGATAGGCCTCTATAAAAAAAGGAATGATTAGGATGCTTTCATTTGAAATTTTTCTACTCACTGGGTAGCATTTAGTAGGCTGATGTAAATAGCAAGTCATTCATGCAGCAAATATTTCTGCAGTGTTTTCTGCATGCTGGCCATTGTGCTGGGTGTTTAGAACACAGCGTGTCAGGCCGGGCGTGGTGGCTCACATCTGTAATCCCAGCACTTTAGGAGGCCGAGGCAGGTGGATCACAAGGTCAGGAGTTCAAGACCAGCCTGGCCAAGATTGTGAAACTCCGTCTCTACTAAAAATACAAAAATTAGTCGGGCATGGTGGCAGGCGCCTGTAATTCCAGCTACTCAGGAGGCTGAGGCAGGAGCATTGCTTGAACCCGGGGGGCAGAGGTTGCAGTGAGCCGAGATCATACCACTGCACTCCAGCCTGGGCGACAGAGTGAGACTCCATCTCAAAAAAAAAAAAAACACGTGTCAAATTAAACCAAACTGACAGTCCATCGTCTCAAGAAGTCTATGTTCTAATAGGAGAGACAGGATATGACAAATCTAGATGTAATATAATGTCTAGAGAAACCAGTGTTATGAAGAAAAATATAGCTGGGGAAGAAAAGACAGAGAAACTGAGACAACTGGGGGAGTGGAAGGATGACTTTAGACAGGCTAGATGGTTTTACTGGAGAGGTGATGTCTCAGCAGTGACCTAGATGAAGTTATGGACCAGAGAAAGTCACTCAGGAATCCAAGTTAAGTGCAATTGGCCTCCAGAAAGTAGTCAACCTAATGGGACTTCAGTAGCCCTAATGGTGGGCTGGATTTCTCACACTGGCTTTGGTGCTTTTCAACCCACATATTCTAAATTTCAGTATAACTACAATGCTGGCGCAAAGTTCCCCCAAAATAAACTTGGGCTTGCTCCAAGAACTAACAGTTTCAAAACCCCAGATATTAAGAAACTTCCATGACTATCATTATCATTGAGTTAGAGAGCACACCAAAAGCATAGACCAAGCTTAGAACCTGGAACCTGGACTCAAGACCACGAATGAACTGCTGTTCCTCCTGCCTGGTTAAGGAAGGAATTGGAAAGGATTCCTCAAGCAGTCAAGGGTTTCCCAAAGCCACCCTAACCCCAGCCAGTGCCTTCTTCAAGAACTTCAGAGTATGGAGAATTACCCAAGGATCTAATAACGTGAGCCTGAGGTCTTTCTTTCACAGGACCTAGGATAACATGGAAAGTGAGCTCAAAAGACACAGGCTATGTGCCGTCAGTGCTAATGCCACCCCGACCTATAGAACCCATGCTGCCGTTCTGTGACCCAAGGGGACATCGCCAAAATGCTGCTGGCAACCCTAGCGAGTTGTGTACATTGTTACTTTTAGGTTTCCTTCCATCTCAGAAAGAAAGAAATAAAAAGAAACCATGTGTGGTCTGTGCTTGCTTGACAAATTAGTCTCTCAATGTATTTACTGACATCAGAATTTGCATTGCAGACACCAAGAAAACACTTCTGTTATATATTGTAGTAAAGAATAGTAATGCTCTTTTAGTTCCTCATCTCATTAAATAAAAAATAAGATACTAATCTTTCCCTCTGAAGAATTCAACTACCAACTGGTACATTACTGATTTTTCTATGTGAATAATGTGTATAGTAACAACTAGTATTCCCAGAAAGGGTAATCATAAAGTTAACTTTTTTTGAATTTGGGGAGAGGGGAAGGGGAGGGGAGGGGAGGGGAGGAGGAAAGGAAGGAAGGGAGGAAGGAAGGGAGGGAGGGAGGGAGGGAGGGATGGACCGACCGTTGTGCATTAGTTGGAGTTCTCTTTATTTCAAAGAATTGACTTACATAGCCATGGAGGCCCCCAAGTCTGAATCCTACAGGGCGGGCCAGAAGGTTGGGAACGGAGCAGGAGCTGATGTTGTAATCTTGAAACAGAATTTCTTCCTCTGAGAAACCTGTTAAGGCCTTTCAACTAAATGGATGAGGCCCGTTAAGATTATCAAGGGCAATCCCACTGATTGTAGATTTTAACCCCATCTACAACATACCTTCACCACAACACCCAGAGTAATGTTTGGTTAAAAAACCAGGTACTAGAGACAAGCCAAGGTGATAGAAAACACACGTTGTTTATCTACACAGGCAAGAGTCTGAGAAGTATCTGAAGGATTTAATAACACATGCACACACACACATTGTGGGAGTTTCTATAGCATGATGATTAAGAGTACGAAATGAGTGACAGAGCCACGACGTTAAGCCCAGGCAGTCTGACTCCCCGCCCTCCTAACTGCTACTCAGTACTGTTCACTGGTTCAAGGCTCAGGCCCTCATTGGCTATAAAGGATTGAATATTCCATTTTTTAAAAACTTTCATCAAATAGATTGTGGGAATGAATGGCCTTAGAATTTGCAACTATCAAAAATGGCTATGAGAGATATCAAAAATGCGATTGAATACACGAAGAATGTGTGTGGTCCTGTATAGACTTTGACAATACAGAATTTTATTAAGCCTGACGTGACCTTGAGATGGAAATATATTTATATCTTAAGAGCACAATAGTGCAAAATTCTGCCAAGTGACTTGAATGGAGGTATTTTATATATATATAAAATATATATGATATTAGAGAGAGAGAGAGAGAGAATTTGGATTTAAAGTCAAGGGCTCCCTGCCCCTCGCCTGTGGGTTATGGAATCATCACTATGGCAACTATAAATAGGGCTCCATGGAACCCACTTGGTCACCATGAAGAATCTAGTCAGCACCCCAGCTAAACGTTTTGATTATAACGCAACTACAAGCAAATTGAGAGGACAATCCCAAAAATAATACAGGAACATCACCTAAAATAGTTGTGTGGGATGGTGCAATAGTTTCCTTAGTAGCTAATCATCTTTCACCCTAAAAGATTTAGAATTAAGTAGAGAAATGTTTTAAAGAATTAAAAAACACAGAACCAATATTTTGTATTAAGGAATTTATACATACTTGAACTTCTAAAGGAATGTGGTTAATTAGTGAAACAGCTCAGCCTTGTGACTTAGCTTGAAACACAATTGAGTAATTGACTGAGGCTAGGGATATTAAATTGAACTCTGACAAAGTTTGTAAACAGTATCAAAGCCTTTCAGAGAACTTAAGGCGCACTATATCTATTGCTTTGATTTATTTATAAGTTATTTAAGTCCTCAGGAAAAACAAAACTATTTTTTAAATCAGACTTTGGAAGTACTTAAGAGTGTGTTAAGGCCGGGCGCAGTGGCTCATGCCTGTAATCTCAGCATTTTGGGAGGCCGAGGTGGGATCACTTGAGATCAGGACTTCGACACCAGCCTAGCCAATACGGTGAAAGACCATCTCTACTAAAAATACAAAAATTAGCTGGGTGTGGTGGTGCGCCTGTAATCCCAGCTACTCAGGAGGCTGAGGAAGGAGAATCGCTTGAACCCGGGAGGGGGAGGGTGCAGTGAGCCAAGATCATGCCACTGCACTCCAGTCTGGGCAACAGAGTGAGACTCCATCCCAAAAAAAGAAAAGAAAAGAAAAGAAAAAAGTAAAAGAAAAGAAAAGAAAAAAGAAAAAAAAGAATGTCTTAAATTTATAAATGTAGTTTACAACGTTTAAAGGTGACACCATTTTTCTACAAAATTAAGGGACCTATTTTGAGGGTTCCATGGACTGGCCAGGAAATCTGCCAAGACCAAAGCAGTCCCCTAATTCTCTAAGTTTCACTCATGGGCCACCTGCTGTCACTGTTGGCAGCTGCCTGTCCACCCAAGCTTGCAAATGACGCATCCTGGATGGCCTTTCTAATATTTATCCGCATTGTACAAAACCACTGTTGACTGCCACTTTCTCTTGGAATCATCTTGCTCATATTCTTGAGACAGGTTACTCTGGCCATTCAAGGATGGGTGGTGCCTCAGCTTTGGGACTGGGTAGGTCCCTCTGGGAGCAGAGGCTGTGGGCAGCAGGTTCCCTCAGGTGGGCCGTGGGCAGGTGGTATCCTGAGGCTGCGTTGCCTCCTGTTGATGGAGTCTGTTGATGGAAGTGTAGTGACAGGCACAAGGAAGGCTTCTCAGTACTCTGCCTATGCTAATCAGGCCACATCCTAACTTTATATTCAATGCTTGGTCCCAAAATCAAGAGGGAGCTGACAGAAGACAATGTTCAGACCTCTCCAGAGAGGTCTTCTCGTGGAAGTCATTGAAGAAACTGGAGGTGTTTTATCTGGAAATGAGATGACGGTAGGATAAAAGAGACCCCTGTTTTTAATAGTTCATTTGTTGCAATGGGAGATTGGCCTTGGGAGGTGTTCAAGATGATTTTCTGCGGTGCTGGGACCTAAGAGAAATAACATGGAAACACGTCATGCAGAAGTTAGCCCCTTGCCAGTTCTCTTTCCATCGGTTCTGTTCTAGTCCTCAAGGCTTCTCTATTACCTGCTTACCTGCCTCTTTAAAAACAAGAATGCAGGCCCTGGGCTCTTCCACAGGCAAAAGTGTTTGACTTTCATATCATTCATATTGTTGATTTTTTGCAGTTGTCTTCTATGTGTGGCAAGTAACACAATTCAGTGTTTTCTATTTACATTAATGGTATGATATTTATTTTGGAATAATTTTAATTAAATTAAGAAAACAAGCCGGGCATGGTGGCTCACGCCTGTAATCCCAGCACTTTGGGAGGCCAGGGTGGGCAGATCACGAGGTCAGGAGGTCGAGACCATCCTGGCTAACACAGTGAAACCCTGTCTCTACTAAAAATACAAAAATTAGCTGGGTGTGGTGGCGGGCACCTGTAGTCCCAGCTGCTCGGGAGGCTGAGGCAGGAGAATCACTTGAACCTGGGAGGCAGAGGTTGCAGTGAGCTGAGATCACACCACTGCACTCCAGCCTGGGTGACAGAGCGAGACTCCGTCTCAAAAAAAAAAGGAAGAAAAAGAAAACATTAAGTAAATCATGGTATGAGTGGTTTATAGATATGCTGAAACTTATGGAGAAGTCAAGAAAACAATTGGGCATTGGAAACACCAGTGCAGATTGTTATGTATTGCAAAGTAGGGTAAATGGTATCACTTGCATGTGGCATGTCAGAGGCAGCCGGCAGGGCAGAAGTTCTCACAATAGATGGAGCTTCGCAACATGGGATGTGTTCTTACCTGTGAGCTTCTGGTTGAGTCAGGGAGGCGTAGGAAGACATCATTTTTCAAGAATGCTGCAGCAGGGGTCCTGCATGCCTCTGGATGGTCCCTAAGGCTCAGCGTCTTTGCCAGTGGCAATCAGGGCAAGTCCTCCTTTGGCCATACACCTTCCCCCTCTTCACTCCTCTCTCTGATCTTAGGAGAGACTCGAAAAGGTATAAAGGAACACCAAGAGGCCTTCTTAAGCTCAAGGAATCAACAGTTTGTTTATTTTCAGTTCCCCATGTATTTTGAGGCTGGAGGATAATGCAGGCAGCCAGACTACCTGTACCTTACCTCTTGGGAGCCAAAGCTATGAGGC
This sequence comes from Homo sapiens, assembly GCF_000001405.40. NCBI lineage: Eukaryota > Metazoa > Chordata > Mammalia > Primates > Hominidae > Homo > Homo sapiens. The sequence continues at coordinate 161,449,993 of NC_000006.12, read as the reverse complement.
AGCTGTAGGGAGAATGAGTAATGGATCAGCAAAGAGGCAGGCACCGTTGGCTCTGGAACAGCTAAAGTCTCGTGGGTGGGTGTGGGGGTCATGGCAGTGCATTGAAATGGAGAAACCAAAGATGTTCCATTCCCAATGCTTCTGTTTTCCTGCACTTTCCCATTGCTTCCCTACACCTGTCTGTGTAGAACAATAACCATGAATGTCATTATAAACTAGAAAGTATGGCTGGTTACGGAAGTCTAGTCAGTGCCTCACTGTCGCTGACTCAGTCCAACACCCACCATCTCTGGTGGGACAAGTCTGCACTTTGGTTCTGATTTCCTCTTTGAGGTCTAGATGCCAGTTTTCAGCAACTACCAAACAGTTTTTCTTGGCTGAGCCTCTTCAACACGTGCACTTATGGGTCAGCTTATTTTATTGTTGCTTTGACTTAAGATTTCCATGGAATATGAACATGAAAAGAGAGTCTTTTTGTCAAACACTGGGAGACATTTCACATATTACGGCCCTGAGTACGTTCAGAGTTACCTTCTTTGAATAAAATCGCCTTTCCCTGGGGCCCACGATGAGCAGTGGGAGAGTACATACGGATAGATGAGAAAAGATTTTTCTCTATGTCAATCTTGAAACCTTCTTTGAGTTTATGTTTCTTTGTTTGTTTTTCTCCCTAGTTACTTGTGTTTTAAGTTGTTGAAGGCAAGTGATCTGGTTGGACAGTTATTTTGCTTAGAGGACATGCTAAATCGTGGGACAAAATCCAATATCAGATTTTGAAACCGGGGCATTACTATTTTATATTGGCAGAATTGACTGAGCATACAAATTATAAATTGCAAGCATAAACCAAGAAATTGTAATAATAATACACACAGCTTCTTTTCTATCAGGTTGGTCCAGATCAATAACCACAAACCATTTATCCCAGACAATGTTCTTACCCGAGCCCTGATGGTCTCATTCATAACACCTGTAAGTAAGCCATCCACCTTTTGTCCCCTTATCACTTTATTCTGAGCAGTCACCATCTCAGATGCACCACCTTTTTAATGTGACCTTGGGGAGAACACACTGGGCTTCCTGTGTTGCCAGAGTCCCAAAGTCATCCTCTACCTTGAACGCTTTTATTTTAAAATAATAGTGCCACTCATTTGGGAAGGTTAACTTGGACTCCAGCTTATAAGGATTGTCCAGCAAAGAAACGAAAGGGTAGAGGAACAGCTAATGCTCCTGTGGCTCATGGCTTCCCAGATCTGCAGGGAGTGCCTTTCCAGCCAGAGATGTCTAGCCTCTTGCCCCCACAAATTAGGAGGAAGCAGATAAAAGCCTTGCACGTAATGTGTAGCAAAAATGCAAATATTTGGATGGAAAAGATATACGGGAACGTCAGCATAGATGCTACCTCGGGGGACAGAGAAAGAGAAAGAAGAGAAGAAAGACGGAAGAAACTGGGATAAGAGAATCGCAAGATCTTTATGTCTGTAACCTTTGCTTTTTACAAATTTGAAGCAAAAATGCCCCCCGAAATCAGCATTAAATCTAAGATGTGGATATGTGAGTCCTGATTACATTAGTCTTTGTATTTTCTGTGTTTTGGAACAATTTCATTACATATGTGTATGTACACATACGTGTATATGCATGTGTATATGTCCATCTAAAATAATCAAAATGCTTAGGATCCAGTTAAGTAATTCATTCAAGGGCTGCATGGGAGTGGCCATTCAGAGATACGCAGACACCAAAGAATGATGAATTTCTGATATTCCAAGAATCCAGTGAAATATTACGGTGTGGGGAAAAGTGAAGATCTTTTATGGAGGCAAAAGGGAGGCGCTGAACAGAATCACGGTGTTTTCCATACAACGGCTAACACACAGATGTAAGATTTGATTGGCTACTGTTGACTTCACTCTAAGGGGGTTGCTTAGCATTTTATTATAAAGAGATAACAATGACCAAGGTCCCTACCTCCCACATCATTCAGTCTGGTTTGAATGAAGGCTATAAGTCTGGTTAAGGTCTAAGATCTCAACACAAAAATCAGGAAGCAGTGGTCACGCACCAGAGAGAAAAAACAGCCTGCTCTCACAACTCCATTTCCAGGGCTTAACTTTCCTCTAGGCCTGTGAAATTTGGAAGGTCCTGAAATTTTCTTTTGTTTTTACATATATGTATGTATGTGTTTAAAAGAAAAAGGAGGCCAGCCACGGTGGCTCATACCTGTAATCCCAGCACATTGGGAGGCCGAGGCGGGCTGATCATGAGGTCAGGAGATCGAGACCATCCTAGCTTACACGGTGAAACGCTGTGTCTACTAAAAATACAAAAAATTAGCCAGGCATGGTGGTGCATGCCTGTAGTCCCAGCTACTCGGGAGGCTGAGGCAGGAGCATCGCTTGAACCCGGGAGGCGGAGGTTGCAGTGAGCTGAGATCACTCCACTGCACTCCAGCCTGGGCGACAGAGAGAGACTCCATCTCAAGGAAAGGAAGGAAAGAAAGGATGGCAGAGGAATATGGGAGATTATTCTCCAACTTGTCTTCTTTACAGGGGGCCTTTTCTAAACTTAAACCAATACACAGAAGAAAAGTTATTTATAACTAAATCAAAATGTAAATTCATTTCTAATGAGTTCAGTTCTGAAAAGGTTTGGGGAATTCTGCTGTTAGGAGTTTCGAAGTGAATTTTAGGGTTTAGCCGCGGGAAACCCTAGATTGAGCATGTCAGAGAGAACCGAAGAATTTAGACACGCAGGAAAAGCTGGTCAATGAACAGCAGCCCATTCTCTGAGTGAAAAAGCAGCTTTCGGTTAACTTCACAGGGGGACTTAACTGTCCTAGTAGCAGGAAAGATGTTGCTATAGTAACGCTCAGTGTGGGGTGAGAAGGAAAATGGGATTAAAAAAGGATATTTTCCTTGTATTGACTTCTTTCCTTAAAGATCATTAAGAAGTCACCTACCCATAGCTAACAGAAAAGAAATCCTATTTAGCCTTAAGGGGGAAAAAAAGCCCACTTTTTCACCTGGGAAGGATAGGAGCTGCTCCCATGTCCTGGGGTACAGAGTAGCTTTTAACTGAATGTAGGGATATTTGGTTGAGGGAGTGGCTGTTGTCCTTTTCTATGTATACAGCAGAAAAATGGGTTGATGGATGGAATTAAATGGCAATTTAAAGAAATCCAAAGAGCTGTCTGTTCTGCAGTTGCCACCTCCCACGTGAACCTCCCTCATTCCTGGCTCCATATTCCTAGTGTGGGAGGATGGTTATAAATTAGATGAGGATGAATTGTTTCGTTTGTGCAGAGCTTTAATTTGATAGAAAGGGGAGGTCTAATAAATCATGGGTAGAAAAGAGGCTGCATTTAGTTTCAATCTTAAAGTACAGTTCAGGTTAACAAGGTTAAAAATAGATTGCTCCAGGAACAGGTATGAATTCCTCCATGACGCTCAGCCATCACAAACATCCTACTCCTTTTATGCTTCTACACAAAGTCAGATCTGGCTCAGACGCCAGGCTTCAGGGCACCAGAGTCTGCATCTGGTAGCGGGGAGGGCCTTTCCCCTCCCACAGCTGCATAGGTCCCAAGCCAGGCCCCTTTGGGTCTCAGTGTCTGCTGGCATCTCCCAGTTCCTCTAAGTCACACTTGGACCTCGAAACCTCCCCAAAGGCCTACAAGCATGGTGCTCCCTGCTCAGCCCCAGGCAGCCTCCAAGCCTCCCTTCCCAAAGGGAGAAATCAGAGAAATCCCTTCTCCAATTTTTTTGTTTTGTTCTGAGATAAGATCTCTCTCTGTTGCCAAGGCTGGAGTGCAGTGATACAATCCTAGCTTACTGTGGCCTCGACCTCCCCAGGCTCAGATGATCCTCCCACCACCCCACCACCACCCCATGCTCCAGATACCTGGGACCATAGGCATGTGCCACCACACCCAGCTAAGTTTTATATTTTTTATAGAGACAGGGTTTCACCATGTTGCCCAGGCTGGTCTCAAACTCCTGGGCTCAAACAGTTTGCCTCTCCTCTTTGTTTATGCTGCTGCCCTCTCTGCTCTGGTCCCTATCCCCGCCACTCCATCTCCCCACAGGAGGCTTTCCAGAACTAAGGCCTCTGAACTCTCCGGGCAAAGGAAACCACCACCCTGCAAGGCTGTCGATAGGGAAGGGAAGGGAAGGGAAGGGAAGGGAAGGGAAGGGAAACCCCTTGTATTCTTTGCTGGCGGCCAATAGCAGGAAAGTGGGCCCAGCTCATCACTCTGTGCAGTCACCTGGCCCCGCACGTGAAGGGAGACCATGCACTCTGCCCTGTGACACGCAGACCTGGTGCGGGGCAGCTGGCCTCTATCATGCTGCACCGATCCCATTCAGCTGCAGCACGGGTGGATGATACAGGTGGCCTCTTTCTCCTGCTGCCCTGTCAGACGCTGGGATGGCAGCCAGCTGACACTTCGATGCCTTGAAGTCCAGGAAAAGAGTCACAGTCATCTTCCTTCAAGCTTGGAGAAAGGACAGTCTTCCCTTATTCCACTCAGAGGTGTCCATGTGTAGGAGAAAGGGGAGGGTGGGCCTCAGCTCTCAGCTCCTCTGATCAATCTACGCTGCTTGACTCGGTGGCCAGGGGCACCACTGAGCCCCTCATGAGCCCCCAGCAACTGCATTCCAGCCCAAGTGGCCCTCCTCCCCTGGGTCAGTGCCGAGCACCAGCAGGTCACATGCGGTCTATGTTTTACAGTCCTGTCTTTGTGGTCAGGCAGCCTCTAAGTGGCCGTCAGAAAGTTGAGCCCCCTCTCCCCGTTCCTGTCTGACTGCTGTACACTCGTGCAGGGGGAGCTGTGTCAGCGCCGCGGCTTTGGAGAGGCTGAGCACGTCAAGTTCAAGAATTATGGGTTTTAGGCAGATGTGCCAGCCCTGGCATCTGGTCCCTGAAGCCCAGTCTACTCTTGGAATCCAGAGTAAAATGTAGGCAGGGGTTGGTTACCTAGAGATTAAAAAAACAAAAAAAGATATTGTGCCAAATGCCCTTTTTAGAAAAGACCATGCTAAGGATAAATGAAAATGAAGACTGGAGAGGTACTGGCTTTTTTTAAAAATAAATAACTATTACATACCTTAGCAAAACAGGAATAAATCTATTAAACTGATAACAAATACCTCTGGCCAAAACCACGGGAAGGCTTTTTTCAAAGCATTTGAAATGCAAAATAAACGACATGTAAAGATTCTGTCCGTACAGCATGTCAAGAGTGCCGTTTCATTCATCAAGGGGAACAAATGTTTCCACCGCCACGCGGTAGCGCTCGTGCAAAGCTCGCTGTTACTCAGGAGCCCTCGCTACCCGCAGACAGGCTGAGCACAGTGAATTAGCCTCTCAGGAGGAACTCAGCTTTTCAGAGCACAACCTCACCACGTCAATTAATATTTGCTGACTGAATGCCTGCTCTGCGTCTCCCACTAACCAGGGGCTGCAGGGACTTCTTGGAGCATGGCAAGCACCCCAAGCGCTAGTTTAGTCTAAATGGAAAAAGCATGCATGGAAATGGAAATGCCGGAGTAAATTCATGAGATCTAATGACCTTGAGGACTTCACACAGACATACACATTCCTGGAGGAAGGTGGTGGGGATGCTTTGGCTAAACCCATTACAGAGCACATTCTGTTCATCAGAGAATGTGTCTTTAAGGAAGAGAATCTCAATCGTTTGCTAAATAGGAAAGACAAGTTGACAGATGATTGGGAGCCTCTTCCAGGCAAGAGGATTTCCTTAGGAAGCTCACTCAGCCAGGCCCATCCCATGAAGCTGCCCTGGGATGGGTCCTGGAGAAGTGGTATCTGCAGCTCCCACCCGCTGGGCCTGGCCTGGCCGATTCCCAGTCCCCCAGTCCAGGAGCCAGAAGCTCCAGAGCTCACCGGCCCCACCCAGCCTCCCACACTTTTGCTCTTTGTCTGCCTAAGGCCTAAGCCTGGCGCCTCCTAGTTAGTTCGTGCACACTGAATCGAATTTCATGTAAATTAAATGCTAACAGGCTGCTGATGCCAGCATCTCTACCTTTGTCATTTAAAGTCACAGGCTCCTTAATGACTGCAATTAGGCAGCTCCGTTATTACTTGAGCTAGAGACGTTTAGAGAGGCATCTGTGATGGCAAAATGCTCAGCGTGCTCCACTCTTTCCATTAACCCCTTGGCTCTGCCTACCGGGGCATCAGTTTAGGCAGGAGTAATATTAGCAGCTGAAGCACACTTGTTTCTACCAAAGGTAAAACTGACTGAACTAATGACTGCGGAGGATTTCTTTCTCTTTTTTTCTTTTTTTTTAAATGGTTATGACCATTTAAAAAAACTGATTGTTCTTATAAATTGCAGTATGTACTGTCCACTCTGGGTTATCTATTTACCATTAATAATTTATATGGTGTGATTTGTAAAACTACTGTCAGGCTTCTTTCCTTACAATGTTACAAAGTCTGTGCGACAATGAACTTATCTTCCAGCGGGCATTGCGTGAGTACCTCTCAGGCTCCCACACCCTGTGGCGCTTCGTGGTACCATCAAACTCCTGCGCTTGATTTAGGCAATGCACGCCAGTTCCCCCGCCCCATGCAGGGCATGTGGTAAGTCACAGTGACATAGTATAAGACCACGCGTGTTGGAGGAACTTCACTCCCTGATTTTTTTTTTTTTTTTTTGAGACGGAGTCTTGCTCTGTCACCCAGGCTGGAGTGCAGTGGTATAATCTTGGCTCACTGCAACCTCTGCCTCCCAGGTTCAAGCAATTCTCCTGCCTCAGCCTCCCAAGTAGCTGGGATTACAGGCATGCACCACCACCACACCCAGCTAATTTTGTATTTTTAGTAGAGATGGGGTTTTTCCATGTTGGTCAGGCTGGCCTCGAACTCCCGACCTCAGGTGATCCACCCGCCTTGGCCTCCCAAAGTGCTGGTATTACAAGCATGAGCCACCGCGCCCGGCCTCGCTCCCTGATTCTAATCCCTACTCATTTTCTTCACCTCGAGCAGGTCAGTTAACCTCTCAGAGCCCCGATTTCCTCATCTGTGCACTGGGGAGAATGGCTTGCCTGAGGAGCAGCGTGGACACATTGGCAGTAAGTGAGAGGGTTTATGTTAAACTGCTGACAGATAGTGATATAAATGTTATGTTTAGTTGTTACGATGTCCAAAATGAAAGGGAAGAGAACCTCTCTTTTGCTTCCTGGCAGAGGCTCTCGGTAAGCTGTTCGTCTCCACGGCTGCATTCTAGCAACTTCGTTGAAAAGCATTCATGGGTGTTGGTGTGTAAGCGGGGCCCCGAAGGAACAGCTAAATTCCAAGCCACCTTCAGCTGGGAGTCCAGCCCGTCCAGTCCAAGACAGCGAAGGCCACCCTTGGTCCAGGTCGCCACCTTAGATACAAGCAGTGCTGCCCTTCCGCTTGGTGGTGCGGAACGGCACGCTATTCAGTGCCTTCTTGTACTCGCCCACTAAGGAGAAGGTCATGTGAATTATCCAAAAGATGAAGCCCGAGATTTTAAAATCATACTGAGTAATGGTTCTGAATAAAAGCCATTTGTTATGATCACTAAAGTAAACCTGTTTGTGGACAGTAAGAATAGTGTCTTAAATCTAGCCTTCAAGATTAAGGACTTTAAACTCATTTCATGGTGTATTTTTTGTGCTAATCATTTTATGTTTTTACTTATCGTAGGAGGTGGAAAGCCCCTTCAATGGCTCTGTACTGACTTTTGAAGTGGAGAAATAATTCTCCTTCAATTTCAGAGAAATTGAAGTTTACTTAAAGATGATTAAAAATCTTTCTGACAGACTTTGAGAAGGTCTCTCTTCTGACTGCTGTAATTTTAAATAATTCAGAGCCAGCTTGGCACATGTATGTTTATTAAAGTAGGGATGAAAATAAAACTCACTCGTGTGGCTGCATTAGCCCACTGAACAGTATTTCATCTTACATCGTCTCTATAACTTCTGAAGTGAAAACCAGAAACTCATTGGCGATGTCCTCCCTGCTTGCTGGGCTGATTGGCATGAGGCAGGGCCAGCTTTATCCACTTCCTGAAGACCATTCCTCCATGGTAGCCCCTTTGCCAGCCGCCAGACGCTCTTCTCAGAGACTCAGAACAGCAGGCCAGGGATGGAGGGAGGGAAGATGCCGGATGGCCGAGGAGCCCCCAGGCAGGTGGCAGCTGCAGCCTTGGCCCTTCCTGGGACCCTGAGGCCCCTGGGATGCCTTGGCAGCAGAACCTGTATCAGCAGGAGCAGCTCTGGGAACTGCGGGGAAGAACTGGAGCTCTCAGGACCCCAGATCCTCAGATCCTTTTTTTTTTTTTTTTTTTTTTTTTAAGAGACAGAGTCTTGCTCTGTTGCCCAGGCTGGAGTGCAGTGGCATGATCTCAGCTCACTGCAACCTCCACCTCCCAGGTTCAAGTGATTCTCCTGCCTTGGCCTCCCGAGTAGCTGGGATCACAGGCACGTGCCACCACGCCCAGCAAATTTTTGTATTTTTAGTAGATACGGGGTTTCACCACGTTGGCCAGGCTGGTTTCAAACTCCTGACCTCAAGTGATCCGCCCGCCTTGGCCTCCCAAAGTGCTGGGATTGTAGGCATGAACCACCGCACCTGGACAGGACCCCAGACTCTTTCTGTAGCTCACAAATCAACAAAATTAGTAAGTATGTGAACTGTGATGCAGAGCTTCCAACCACATCCCAAACTGCCATGGACTGCGCTTCTCTTCACGCTCGAGCAGTGATGGCTGAGCACCATGCTTCTCCGCAGAGCTGAGCTGCTCTTTCTTGCTCCTCACCAGGTTCTCTCCTGCTCCTCCTGCGGTGGCCACAGCTTTGGCTGTGCTGTGTTTTGTGCCGCAGATAGGCCCTTTCTGACTTTATTTGACTAACCCCCCAGAACCCCTGATGGTGTTTAGCTGGCCAAAATTCAAAAATCCCTCTGAGATGCTTGTAGTTCAGAACATTTTTGTTAGGAAAATCCTCTCTCTCTTTACCAATGAGATTTTGCAAGAACAATCCCATCTTTCTCTTTGTCTTTCAGCTGACATTTTAGTCTTAAATTTTCTAGGGACACCTTCAGTTCAGCCTCTTATCACATTAGACTCTTATTTGTATTCTGGAGAGATGCTGGTCTTTAATATTCTCGAAGACAAATAAAGAACCCTCAGAAAACCCAGGGCCATTCTACTTTCTACCTTCAGTCCTGAATGATGTCAGGGAGCTCTCAGGACCTTCAGGTGGCATTGGAAATATCTCTTGGGTTTGGAAAGGGCAATTTAGATCCAAGCAATCTCAGAATGCATTTGTGATAGATATGTTATGAATTTTTACTGCCTCACCTCTTCACTTCCTCCCTGTCTGCGAGGTAGAACTAGGATTTTCTTATCCATTTCCAGCAACTCCCAGACCCCTGGTGAGGGAACCCTCTGTGTCTGCCGACCATGTCTTTGCAGAACAATTCAATCTATCCCGAGAGGCAGCCTCCCAGAGGCAGCAATGGGGAAATGCCAGGCTTCTCAACCTCCGTGTCAGCATTCTTGATATTTGGGGTGGGATAATCCTTTGTCAGGGGGACTGTTCTTTGCATTGTAGGATGTTTAGCAGAGTCTCTGGCCTCTGTCTGCTAGACACCAGTGGCACTCTGTAGTGTGACAGTGAAAAATGTCTCCAGACATTGTCAACTGAGAACTTCTGACATAATGGGAAGGGTAAAAACTTAGGGCCAGGCCAGGCGCAGTGTCTCACACCTGTAATCCCAGCACTTTGGGAGGCCGAGACGGGCGGATCACGAGGTCAGGAGATGGAGAGCATCCTGGCTAACACGGTGAAACCCCGTCTCTACTAAAAATACCAAAAAAAATTAGCCGGGCGTGGTGGTGGGCGCCTGTAGTCCCAGCTACTCAGGAGGCTGAGGCAGGAGAGTAGCATGAACCCGGGAGGTGGAGCTTGCAGTGAGCCGAGATCGCGCCACTGCACTCCAGCCTGGGCGGCAGAGTGAGACTCCGTCAAAAAAAAAAAACAAAAAACAAAACAAAACAAAAAACAAAAAAACCTAGGCCCAAAATACTGATGCTCGAATCTCAGCTCTACTGGGACGACCTTGACCAAGTCTATCTGAGCTCATAGTACCTGCCCCACGAGATTGCTTGCATAATTAAACTCAATGATGTGGTAGCTTTCAGTACATGTTTATTGAAGCCAAATCTCTTATCATCTGTTTTCTTAATTAATGGCAAGAATTACGTTCAGATGCGCAGTAAGCAATAAAAAAAAATCTAGCTTCCTTGTTTCACCAAAGGTACACTTCTAGCTCTTTGGCACAAACCGGTTTAGTTCAGTGTAGATGGAATCGCTCGGAGATCTGGCTTCATCACGGGAGAGAGGACATTTCACTTCTGGTGGTATCTCTCTTGTACCCGTTGAGAGCTGCTCCCACGCAGTTAATGGCGCCCAGATAATTACAGACGGAGCTGCCTTCGGGTTGTAAACAGAGCTTTGGGTGATTGCACACTGCCATTTATCCGGCCTATTTGCATTCGTACTTATTTGCATTTCTACATCTCCCACAGCTGACACTTGTTTTTTCATTTTGTGATTCCAAAGCACTTTTCTGATTACCCTGTGCCTGCTAGGAGTGCTCCCCATCAGGCGAGGGATGCAGCCTCCTTCCCGGCTCTGCCCTCTTGATTTCCTCCATGTTTTTGGAGGGAGGCCAGTTGTTGGGAGACCGCATCTGCCGTGAGCCCGGGACTAATGAGTCATTGTTCTTCTGAGAAGCCCGTTGGCGTCAGCTTCCTTTCAGCTGCGGCATCGCAGGACCTTGTCTGCCTTTTCCTCCGGGTTACACCTGGGACCTGCTGCATTATGTTACTATGACAAGGGTCACCTTACTTTCTCTTTTCGAAAGTGAGATTGACTTTCCTTCTGTTTCTGAAAGAAATGCGACTTAAAATTTGAGTCTGTAGCAATCAGCTTGAGATAGCCTACTCTGAAACTGCTAAAAGAACAGTTTCCATTTAAGAATTTAGCTGCAGTGCTGAGAACATACAACCCCTACCTTTTTAAGCCTCTCATGTGCTTATATTTCTTAAACAAAATGGCTATGTCTATTCCTTGCTTTCAGTAAAAGGCATACTCGTCAGTTTAATAAAATGTATGTTAATTTTCCTAAGCCAATTTACAAGCAGCATTGGTCAAATAGCTACATGCGGGATGATCACCCGAATATCTAATAATGATAGAGCACTTAACGGTTTACTAATTCCTTAACAACATCCATCATCTATTTTTCGATTTTCTTCTCTCTCTCGGTTTCCACATGACCCATGCATTGAAAGATTTAGATTTCCTATTTCGCCGAATTGTACTGTTTTCCCTTCCCTTCTGAGTGAAAGTAAGAAAACCTATGAGTTTAAAGTATGTCTTCTGCCCTACATGCTGTATGTAAAATTTAACAGAATTCAGCCGGGCGCAGTGGCTGATGCCTGTAATCCCAGCACCTTGGGAGGCTAAGGTGGGCGGATTACGAGGTCAAGAGACAGAGACCATCTTGGCCAACATGGTGAAACCCCATCTCTACTAAAAATACAAAAAATAGCTGGGCGTGGTGGTGTGTGCCTGTAGTTCTAGCTCCTCAGGAGGCTGAGGCAGGAGAATCACTTGAACCCAGGAGGCGGAGGTTGCAGTGAGTCGAGATCACGCCATTGCAATCCAGCCTGGAGACAGAGCAAGACTCTGTCTCAAAAAAAAAAAAAAAAAAAAATTAACAGAATTCTCCCTGTAAGTGAATTTGTAAGAAAACAAGAACATTGACTATTCCATTTAATAACAAAACTTCTGGGACAGACCAGCTCCCTCAGTGGATTAGTTAAATGATGTGCAGATTATATTAACCCATGGAATATAGCATCACGGACCCACATACCATCATCCTGACTTAGTACGACTCACACCAGCTCTGTATTTAAACGGATGAGGATAGATGTGGGCTCATATAATTACTGTGTCAATTACAAGGGAAGAATAAACAAATGTTTACCAATCAAGTAGTCACCAGCAACCTGCCTTTGGTAGATATACTAGTGTTCCTATTTGGGGAAAGGTATTATTTATTTTAATAGTTGCATAATGGTCACTTTCAAAATATGCCTTTGACTACGTTATGCTTATTTTCTGCATGTCACAGACTAGCCCTGCTTAGGTGAGCTTAGTAGATACACTAATGTTACTACTTTGAGAAAGGCATTATTTAATATTCCTTTCAGGAACACATTAATATACGATGTCAGAATTATGATGCTTGGTTTTTATACACAGCCTGTCCCAGCTCAGGTGAGGTCACATCCCTTGGCCATACCTGTGTAAAAAGCCAAAGGGGGCCCCTTTTCCAGACAGCAACCAGCCTAGCCCAGGCTCCCCTGCCTTGTGGCATCCACGCCACCAGTCACTGCCAAAGCGCATACAGGAGTCCCCGCTTATCCATGGTTTCGATTCCTGCAGTCTCTGGTACTCACAGTCAACCGAGGCCCGAAGATATTAAATGGAAAATACCAGCTCAACACTTCCTAAGTTTTAAATTGCTCACTGTTCTGAGTTGTGCGATGAAATCTCACACCCTCCCACCTGGATGTGGATCCTCCCTTTGTCTGGCATCTCCACGCTGTAGACACCACGCGCCCAGAAGTCACTTAGTAGCCATCTGGGATAGCAGAGCTATAGATCACAAGAAGAAGGATGAGCGCAGGACAATGAGATATTTAGAGAGAGCGGGAGTCCACATTCACGTAGCTTGTGTCGTGGTCCTCGCACCATTATACCTGCTCTGCTGTAGCACTGTTGTGAATGTCTTACTTTGCTTAATTTATAAGTTAAGCTTCGTAATAGGCATGTATGTGTAGGAAAAAACAGCATATATAGGGTCGGTACTACCCGTGATTTCAGCATACACTGAGGGTCTGGGAACGTATCCCCCTTGGATAATGGGGGTGACTGTGATGGTAACAGAAGCATCCTAGTTGTTATTTTCATAGGCACTGCTACCAAGCTTGTAAACCTCTTCACTGTACCCAGTAGTGAGACAGAGCTGCAGAGGGTGACCGGTCTCCCTAAGTGAATACCAGGTGGAACCTAACACATAGAGAGAGAGGAAAGGCCAATTTCAGACACTGAAAGCTACTCTTACAGATACAGACATTTCAATAGCCAGGAGACCCTGAGGAATGGCTCTTAATCCAGGTGGCCTGTGTATAGACATGCCTGCAAGTAGCCAACCAGGATAATAAGAGTCATCCCCCGGAAGGGATGAGGTCAGAGCAGGAGTTTCAATTTGACCCACGTTCCCATCATGCCTTTCTCTCTTTCTCTCCCATCCTCACTTCCAAATCACAGCCATTCACCCAAGCAGTTCATGAATGCAGGAACCTACCAGGACATTACAAATCATTAAAAATTTAACCCTCCCAGGGAGCAATTACAACTCCAAAAAGGCATTATTTGCACTCTCCGCCCACCCCCCCCCAAAAAAGTCTTGAGTTTGCAGAGAGTGGCCAAAAACATTCTAGAACTTCATGTCTCTATGCCATGCCTCCTCTTCCATCCCAGCGAATGAAATCCACCTGATGAGGGCACACAGCAGGCCCTCCCATCCCGCCTCCTCCTCTCTGCCCTCCCATCCCGGCCCCTGCTCTCTGTCCCTCCCATTCCACTCCCCTGCTCTCTGCCCTCACATCTTGCCCCCTCTTCTCTGCCCTCCCATCCCACCCTCTGCTCTCTGCCCTCCCATCCTGCCCCCTGCTCTCTGCCCTCCCATCTCGCCCCCTCCTCTCTGCCCTCCCATCCCAGCCTCTGCTCTCTGTCTCTCCCATCCTCCTCCCCTGCTCTCTGCTCTCCCATTCTGCCTCTTCATCTCTGCCCTCCCATCCCACCCCCTCCTCTCTGTCCTCCCATCCCTCCCCCTCCTCTCTGCCCTCCCATCCCTCCCCCTCCTCTCTGCCCTCCCATCCCTCCCCCTCCTCTCTGCCCTCCCATCCCACCCCCCTGCTCTCTGTCTTCCCCCACTCCCTCCTCCCCAAGTCATTGCTGGGAGGAGTGGGTCGGCCTCAGGGCCTCCCAGGCAGTCCTTGAGGAAACCACACACTTCATGAGGAAAGGAAATCCTGGAGGAGTTTTCATGTAGATACAGGTTTTATTTAGGGAAAAAAAAATCCAGAAATAAATACAACTGCCTGGAAAACTAACTATATTTTACATTTTGGAATAATTTAAATATCATTCCTGGTAAAGGAAGTGATGCAGAAAAGTCAAGAGAGCTCTGAAGGCAGAGAGAGCTGGATAAGCGGGTCCTGATTCATCAGTGACCTTGAGCTGGCCCCTGACACCTCTGAAATTCCATTTCTGCAATGGTAAAACGGGGATAGCAATGACACCTACATTATTATATTTAAAATGAACACATTTTATTTTTTTAATGCGCCAATATTTGTAAATATTCATAAAGCTCATATGAATATTTGTAAAGCTCTCTGCACAAAGTAGAAGCTCAGTGCTTCTTTATAAACAACATTAACAAAACGACTTCACTTACCTTCACACGATCCCTTTGCATTAGGGATTATCGCCAACCAGGCAGGAGGCGTCAGAGCATGGCTTGATAAAAATAGAGTACAACTATGCAGGGAGTTTTTTAGGACAATGGGAATGTAACCGCTTATAATGCATGTCCAAAAGGTTCCTTGTAAAATATTATCTTGCAAAATGATTTTAGAGTGAAATCATCTCTCTTTTTTCTGGCAAATCTTTGAATTCCACCCAATTTACCTTCATTATATCCAGCTGCACAAAAGCCCATGTGTTATTTCTTCCCATGCTGTCTCACCAGATCTGTCTGTTCACATTAACCTAGTTACCAGTGGAACAAAAATGCAATTGGCCAAAGGTTACATTTCTTTGTCATGAGCACAAGAGAGCAAGATCATGCCGGGCAAAGGCTTTCAGTAAATTTCAGCCAAGAAGTTGGGCTTCTTCCCAGGAACTCTTTAACCCTCCCCTCTCCTTCCTCCCAGAAACACACATGCTACGTTACCCTTGGTGTTTTTCCGCGCCAAACTTGTGGTCTTTTTTTGTTTTATTTTTAAAGATGAATATATTACAGAAAGAAATGATACTGAATTTCCTTCAGCATGCCCCCCAATTTTAGGACCTTGAAGATTTTCATGTTTCAAATTGCGTTAAACTTTTCAAAGAGCTTTCTTTCCCTGCTTCAGCTATAATCCTGAAGAGACAGGTGAAAGATGCTTTGTAAATCCTCATTTTACAAATGAGAAAATTAAGGCTCCAGGAGATGATATGACTTGCTCAGCGATTACACAAGTAGGAAAATAAAGACCCCATTGTGTGTTGATTCTCAAACGGTCTGCATTATAGTCTTGTGTCTACACAAGTCAGCGCACACCCCAGCCTTGGAGAGGATGTTGTTCTGAGGAATCGGAGTCCAGTTCCTGAAGCTTGGGCGGCTCTGGCTTCATGAAGACGGAGTCTGGGTGCAAAGCAGAAA